>NC_000015.10:86289762-86441278 GCF_000001405.40 Homo sapiens
TTTGTCATTACCCTGCACCCAACCTGATGATCCAGGATAGTCTCCTCATCTCAAATTTCCTAATCACATCTTCAAAGTTCCTTTACTGTGTAAAATAACATCTTCACAGGTTGCAGGGATTAGAATATGGGCATCTTTGGAGGGCCATTATTCTGCCTATCACACCAACATAAGCAATAAACTCAACTCTGTTTTAGAGACCCATTGTTCTAGTGATATTCTAGAGAGTTTGCATTTATTTGGCACAATACTAAGTACTGCCTTTCAGTTTTCAAGAATTAAATAATATTACTATATCGATGTAAGTTGAAAACATTAACATTTTGTTCCACCTTTTTCCTCCCTTGTACATCTCTTTTTAAGTTCATTTTAGAGCTAGGTGATGACATCAAAATTTGATAATGTGTACTGTCTCCCTAAAGAATTATTTTTTAATGTTTATATTAATATAGTAACCATATTTTTAGATAGTCATTTAGATGTAAGCTTGTTTAACTGGGTTTTATTTTAGTCTTTTTATATTGCTTTTCTGTTTGATTTGGGGGCAGCTGAAGTGTGTCTTCAAGTCCTTCTTTTCTTTCTTTTTTTTTTTTTTTTTCTATTTTTAAGACAGGGTCTCGCTCTGTCACCCAGGATGGAGTGCAGTGACTTGATCTAGGCTCACTGCAGCCTTGACCTCCCAGGCTCAAGTGATCCTCCCACCTCAGCCTCCCACGTAGCTGGGACCACAGGTGTGCACCACCATGCCCAGCAATTTTTATGTATTTTTAGTAGAGATGGGGTCTTGCCATGTAGCCCAGGCTGGTCTTGAACTCCTGAGCTTAAGCAAACCACCTGCTTCGGCCTCCCAGAGTGCTGGGATTACAGGTGTGAACCACTGCACCTGGGCCAAGTCCTTATTTTCTTATTATTTTTTATTTATTTTTTTTATTTTATTATTATTATACTTTAAGTTTTAGGGTACACGTGCACAGTGTGCAGGTTAGTTACATATGTATACATGTGCCATGCTGGTGTGCTGCACCCATTAACTCGTCATTTAGCATTAGGTATATCTCCTAATGCCATCCCTCCCCCTTCCCCCGACCCCACAACAGTCCCTAGAGTGTGATGTTCCCCTTCCTGTGTCCATGTGTTCTCATTGTTCAATTCCCACCTATAAGTGAGAATATGCGGTGTTTGGTTTTTTGTCCTTGCGATAATTTACTGAGAATGATGATTTCCAATTTCATCCATATCCCTACAAAGGACATGAACTCATCATTTTTTATGGCTGCATAGTATTCCATGGTGTATATGTGCCACATTTTCTTAATCCAGACTTGGAACCAACCCAAATGTCCAACAGTGATAGACTGGACCAAGTCCTTATTTTCAATAAAGATAAGGTAGTATGTTGTCTGAGCTTTTGTATGTCTGAGCATACATGCTACATTTGCTCATGAGCAAAAACTTGGTTGGATATAGGTTTATTAGATTATAATCCCCTCTTCTTTCAAGATCTAAGCAGTACTCATTTCCTCTAGCATGTAGTGTTGCAGAAGAAATATGAGCCAAGAATGATTTTTTTGTATACATATATGTACAATGGGTTTATTTATGCACACACACAGAGACACATACACACACACACCACACAGAGACACATACATGTTTAAAAATAATCTTCAGTGTAGCATGCAAGTGTCATTCTATGCAACAATGAGCAGTGAGTTAAGATTGGCAATCAAACACACAGGTTAGGCTTTATCCAGAAGTAAATTTACTTATCCATAAGAAAGAATACAGAGAAGGCAACAAAACAGCACACATAGAAAGGGCTTAGTGAGAGTCTGGACTCCCAGGCACAGCTTACTTTGTCCTAGTAACTCCTCACTATGGAATTATGTGGTCATGAGAGATTAGGTTGAGTGGGACATATCCATCTCAGCCTAGGAATACTATCAGCCTTGGGCTTCCTTCAGATTTCATGCTTAGCTAGTTGTGTAGGTTGTGTGTGTGTGCTTGTGTATGTGTAGTTAGTCATCTTGTATTCTCAGGGGTATGTGGCTCCCTCCCAATCTCCAATGCAGGTGCATCTCATCAATACCTGATACTCGTTATTTGATGGACAATCATAACAATTACATACAAAGATTTGGTTAGATACATGGGCCTCTGCTGGATTTTTATTTATCTTGAATCTGGTATAAACATGCTTCTTATAATTCCTTTACTTAGTGTTGTGTCAAATCCTGGCTTTCTGGAACATCACAAGAACAACCTGTTTCTAAGACACAGTTGGGTTTATTGCTCATGTTGGCATGGTAGGCAGAATAATGGACCTCCAAAATGTCCACATCGCAATCCTGTGAAGATGTTACTTTACATGGTAAGGGGACTTTGAAGATGTGATTAGAGACTTTAAGATGGGGAGATTAACCTTGATTATCAGATTGGGTGCGGGGTAATCACAAGAGTCCTTATAAGTGAAAGAATTAGATAAGAGAATCAGAGCCAGAGAAAAAAATGGGACTGAATGGATGCAGAAGTCAGAGTGATGCAATTTTTGGCTTTGAAGGTGGAGGGAGGTACCATGAGTGAAGGAATGCAGGTGACCTCTAGAAGCTAGAAAAGGCAAGGGAAGAGATCTTGTATAGAGCTTCCAAAAGGAATGCAGCCCTACTGACACCTTGAATTTTGCCCAGTGGGACCCATTTTAGACTACTGACCTTCAGAACTATAAGATAATAAATTTGTGTTGTCTTAACCTACAAAATTTGTGATGATTCCAGCAGTAGTAGGAAACTAATTTACTTGACAAAGGAGAAAGAATGGGACAGAGTCTTACTAGTGTCTCAAAGGGCAGAGGGCAAAGTGGGGATATTTATTGAGACCTTAAAGCCTGGCTTAAAGGCAGATATTTTAATGTGGGGGCATTGATTAGGGTTGGGTAAGGATCACCAAGTAATGGTTTAAGATTGGTGGACACTGTAAGGCAAGGATTTTGAAAAAGGGTGAGAAGAGGGATTCAAAGAATCTTGGCTCAAAGATGGGTTGATGCTTTCTATTGAAGAGTTGATGGGATATTCCTGAAATGAACAATATATTTATTTGTAATTTCTGTCTTCCCAGAGCAGTAAGGTTATGCTGATGAAGGTTGGGGAATAATAGTCATGTTAATGTAGACAGTAAGCTATGTGTGGGTAAATGATTTTGGTTCTCAGTTTTAAGGAGAATATGACTCAAGGTCAAATTTTCAGGTGCCCCTGAGGCTAGAGAAAGGCCATAGAATTATCTGGTAATCTTTTCTTTTCTTGGCACTTTTTCTTTTTCCTTGCAATTCAACTATTTCAGTAGAGTATAAATAGGTTTTAGTCTATTCCTATTCAGATGTCGGGATTTGTACTTACTTTAGGACATTCTTTTTCCCTTGTATGTTAGTTGTCTATTGCTGCAGTAACAAACTACAAAAAATGTAGTGGCTTCAACAGGAACAGGTACTTTTTTTAAAAAAAATTGTACAGCTTTTTAGGTTAGAAGTTTGACATGAATCTCACTGGGCGAAGACCAGGGTTTTGGGGTTGTGTTTCTTCTGGAGGCTCTGTGGGGAGAGTGTGTTTCCTTTCCTTTTCCAGCTTCTAGAGGCCACCTGCATTCCTTGGCTGGTGATGCCTTTCTCCATCTTCAAAGCCAGCAAGGGAAGACTGAGGTCTTATGGGGCCAGCAGTTGTTCTCTGCAGCCAGGAAAGGGCCTCTGCTTTTAATCATGTTGTGATTAGATTGGCCACAACTGGACAGTGCAGGACGACCTCCCCATTTCAAGTAGACCTTAATCTTAAACATGTCTGCAAAGTCCCTTTCACCATGTGAGGTATCCTACCAAAGGTTCTGAAGGTGAGAACGTGAACATCTTTGGGGGCCACTATTCTTCTTACCATATCTGTAGTAAGTTATTTCCACATGTAAATACTTCCTCTACCTTTTGAAGACACTACTTCCCTTTCCATATATTTTATATATTTGTCAATATTTTTACATATTCATTTTATTAAAAAATTCATGAGTTTTTTGTTTCATTTACCCAGCAGGCTAGTTATTTGTCAAGAAACAAGGTGGGCGGTTTCTCCTTGGCCCTCTTAATACCTCCTTGATTGTGGAAAAAACTTTCTACATTTTAAGCTGGGAGGATAATTTTTGGGCAGTGGTGTTTTTGTGCTACAGAGGGGGCAGTGTTTCCCTCTCTGGTTACTGAAATTTCCACTGTCAGGGGATGCAGTGCAGGTGGGGAAAATCTCTTAGCCTCTCTATGACTGGTGCCCCTGTTTTGATTAGGGAAAATTTCTTCGGAATTCTTAAAGATTGTTAACCAGGGGCGGGATGTGGTGGCTCATGGCTGTAATCCCAGCACTTTGGGAGGCCAAGCAGCGTGGATCACCTGAGGTCAGGAGTTCGAGATCAGCCTGGCCAATATGGCAAAACCCCACTCTCTACTAAAAATACAAAAATTAACTGGGTGTGGTCGTGGGTGCCTGTAATCCCAGCTACTCAGGAGGTTGAGGCAGGAGAATCGCTTGAACCTGGGAGGTGGAGGTTGCAATGATCTGAGATTGCGCCACTGCACTCCAGCCTGCCTGGTTGACAGAGTGAGACTTTGTCTCAAAAAAAAAAAAAAAAAAAAAAAAGGATTGTTCACCAGGTGTCCTAATTTCAATGGCTATTTCATTTTTTTTTTTAAATGAGTATTGGGGAGGTATGGTAGGAAAAATTTGTTGCTATTAGTTAGTTGTTCTTTTAGCTTAGCAGTCCCCCTGGATTAACCACGTCTATTATTTTTTCAATGTGCTCACATTTCTCCCTATTACTTTGCCCTGTGATACTATGTGCTGTAGAAGTTTTCTGTCTCATTTTCCCCAGTGTTCTGGGCATGTTCTATTTTCATGATAACCACATTTTTTTTTAATTTTAAGGAAGGCATGCTTAGATTTGTCTCTTTTCTTTTTAAATTGTTTGCTAATTTTTATTTGTACAAATTTATGGGTACGCGTGAAGTTTTCTTACATGCATAGATTGAGCAAAGGTCAAGCCAGCACTTTTAGGGTATCCATCACCCAAATGACGTACATTGTAGCCATTAACACATTTCTCATGATCCTCCCCCACCCCATCCCCTGACCCTTCCGAGTCTCCATTTTCTGTGATTTCCTCGTATGTCACAGCGATAGGAAGAGGGCTTTATGCCCCTGCCCTCCTCCCTCTTGCTTTCAGTGCAACTTGAAAACAGATCTTCTGTTATGCCAAAACATGCAGGAATGATGCTTCCTGCTCAGTCTCACTGAGTTTCTCCTACACAGTAGAAATAGCCCCCTTTTAATCACTCAAGGCCCAATACATAAAGGACAGATTAGATTAACAACAATACTTCTAAACTATATGTAAGCCGTTGTTGTTTTCTATTATTGTTGTTATAAAAAATGTTGATAATATACATGCCTGCTTTATTTCTGCTCCAGACTCATCTTGACATCCTGGAAAAGAGTGTCAACCTCAAAGAGGTCTACTTCCGGCAAGATGTTCTCTGCCAGACGCTGGGAGGGAATCCGTGTCCCTTGGTGACCATCACGGCCATGCCTGAGTCCAACAGTGATGAGCATCTAGAGCAGTTCCGTGAGTAAAATGGGATCCTCTTCGTAGAAGATTTGACTAAGGGTGTCCTTTATAGTCTTGGAAGCATTCTGTCTCTTTTAGATCAAAAGCTCCATAAAGGGTTGGAGACTGTCTGTCTTTGTAGAAATACACCCCCAGCTTTTCTTGGTGTGACACAAAGGTTAAACATTAATGTTGCTTTGTTGTTAAAGGGAGAGAAAATGAAATGAATTCAAACTGTCCGGCAGATGAAATGACAGTTTGCTAATGATGGTCACTTCCTCTCTTAAAACAGAACCAGGACCCTGAATCATATTTTCCAACTTCTAATCCAGGGACTTTTCTCACTGTGCTCACTGCTGTTATGTGACTCTCAGTCAGTCAAGGTTTGGAAAGAAAGAAAGTTGAGTTTTTAAGCCCTGGCTAAAGAATCCCCTTGATAACCTGAATACCATTTGTGTCTGAAGGGCTGAAGATGTGGACAGGCTCTAGCTAAGAACTTTGAAACAAAGTCAAAGCCAAACTCATGCACACACACGCAGACACACACAAATATACGCATATGGACATATAGACAAACACATAGACACATGTAGACACAAACATATACACAGACGTGTAGACACAAACATATACGCCTAGACGTGTATACATGTGTAGACACAAACATATACACAGATGTGTATACACGTATACAGACACGTACACACAAACATCTTTAAATGTTGGGCTTCTGTGCCTAAGTGCATATGTGCGACTGACCTGTTGACCTGTTACGAACTAGCTTTTGAAAATGGCTTCTGACATCATTTCAGACCTTAGGTAGGCAAAAAAAAAAAAAACAAAAAAACAAAAAAAAAACACCCAAAGAATGAGGAATGTTTTGTGATACAGAGAAGTTTTGGAAATTAAAGAAGAAGCTGGATGCCCAGCTTAATTTATCCCCAGAAGATACTGCCTTCCGTAATGAAGATACAGCCTTCCCTGGTGAAGATACAGCCTTCTCTGAGGAAGATACAGCCTTCCCTGATGAAGACATAGCCTTCCCTGGTAAAGATACACCCTTCTCTGAGGAAGCTACAGCCTTCTCTGAGGAAGATACAGCCTTCCCTGATGAAGACACAGCCTTCCCTGAGGAAGATACAGCCTTCCCTGATGAAGTGCTAGCCTCATTCAGGTGACTCTTTGGTAGATCGGAATTATATTTTCTCACACCCCATCAGCATCTGACAATGGATGCTTAACAACCTGGCAAATCAACAACCGATTAACCCATCTGGATTAATGAGGCCCTAAAATGCTTTAATGAATAATAAGGGATTTTCCAAAAATTCTCTTCTGTGTTTTATGCATTTAAGAGCAATTTCTGTAACAGTCACAGAGTACCCCCCGTCAGCAGATGAGCAGTGCTTGGGAGCTGGAGACAGCAATCCTCCCAGGGTAACTTTCATTGAACAATTATTTATTTAAGAAAGTGGATGTGTGTAAGTCTGAGCTTCTTTTTCTAAAAAAGAGTTGAGCAGAACTCTGATGTATCATTATGACATAGAAGTGCCTCCGTTTTTGCATTTTGTGCTGACATTGGTGTTTTTGTTGCTGTTATAAATGTGGAGAGTATTCTTACTTTAAGAAGAGGACTTGAAACATGCAAAGGCCCTTAAATAATCTGGCACTCCAACAAATAGTTCTGTTAAAAAAAGAGAGAGAAAGAGAAAAAATATCTCTTAGTACACCCTTATATGAATCAAAAGAGGCTGGTTTCTGCTTGCTCTGTAAGATGGGTTATAGTAAGTGTACACTCTTATGATCATAACAGCTTTTTTTTCTTTTAAACACATGCTAACATATCCGATGTTCATCTCAAGAAGTATCAGATAAATGCTATGCATTTTCTTTTTGTCACTTGCAAATGACAATCATTGAGCTAGATCCTGAGGAAACCAGGCTTTGACCTAGATGAAAGGGCTAGTTAGGGCCATCTTCATAGGTGTGTCACCTATACATTTGCAGAGCTCTCCTGCTTAGAAGGGCCATGCACTCTGCTTAATGCTTTTCTGCTACTATCTTTATAAAATTCTTTACAAAGTTTTAAACAAGGGGCCTTGCCTTTTCATTTTTCTCTGGGCCCTGCAAATTACATAGCTGGTCCTGGATGTGATTTAAGGTCATAAAGGTAGAAAGTGGCAAAGGCCAGTGCCTTTCTGATACTACTCTTCTCTGTTTCCAAATTATGCATGAAGAGCTTTAAGGTTTAACCTATTTTTCCCACTCCCTGAAAATACTATTTGTATGGATTATGTAGCTGATTGGTATCTTTCATCATGGGGATTAATTTCAGGACCCCTTATTTTACAGATGGGGTAAGTGGAGCTCAGAAAGGTTAAATACTATGATCAGTAGAGGTGACAGATTTTCAACATTGTTATTCTGATTCCAGACTCCACACACACAACAAACGTGCTGACTCCTTTGTTATAACACATGTTCAGCATCAACATTTTGGCTTCACTCTTGGAGCCATAACTTCCTCTCTTCCTCATTCTGTCCTCAAATTATTAGATACTAGCTGAGTTGTTAAAGCATTTATGCTAAATTGACCACAAATAAGTGTATTACTCTCTTCTTGCTCACAACGAATTTTATTTTCCTTTCCTAACCCAATGGAAGCATTTTCATGGTGAATGCTTCAGATACTGTGGCAGGAAGGGAGAAAGAAAATTCTTTCTGCCTGAAGGCCTTTCTTCATACCCAGCAGATCCCAGCACAGAGCTGAGATTGCATGACCTAAGCCACGTGCTGGGGCACAGTTTCAGCAGGGCTACATAATAAAAATGTATACAGGGTACGTGTCTGTGTATAATATATATATATATATATATATATATATATATATGGTAACTATATATATATGGTAGCTATATATATATAGGTAACTATATATATGGTAACTATATATATATGAATATATTCTTATATATATATGAATATATTCTTATATATATATGAATATATAAACACATGCCGTTGCTGTGTTTCTAAAAGAAGAAAAAAAACCCAGCCCAGTATAAACACTGCCTACCCTTCAAAGTGCAAATAACCATGCCTGTAAATCAGAAATGGAACTACTTATTTTCCTTTGAATTATAAAATGTGATGTATTGATTCAGGAGAAAACAGCAAATGAGCCTGCAGCTCAAGATTCTCCTGCCTCCAGGCCTCCCTTCAGGTGAGATTAAATTGTTTTACCTGCTTCCTGCCTCTCAGGGACTAGGGTAGCTTCAGTGTGGGATTGCATTTAGCTGCAATTTAGCTAGTTTCTGGTTCAGTAGCTGTCACTCACCCCTCATAAGGAGGCATGAGTGGAAATAAAGGTTTTCTCTCCACTGTGTGGGATTATTACTTGAGTCTTACTTTAGAATTCCATGAAATAAGACCACGGCTATGGAATGCTGGGGGAACTCCCCTCTCAAGGCTGGTTCCCCTGATGATCTGGTCTAAAGTCCTGGACCTGAAGATTACTGAGGACAACTTAATGATTACTTTTAGTTCCTCCCAGGGTCTGAGCTCCAGAGAGTCTTCCAAAAGTGTTTATTTTGTTTGATTTATTTTTCAAAAGCATTTTCTTTTTAAAGTTATTTTCCTGAAAACATTGAGCCTTACTTTCTTGATAACTTATTTTCAGTTGAGTCGTCACCAGATTTGCCAGCTGTGTACTTTATCACTATTTGGAGAACTGAGGACAGTCCCTTTTTGAAATGCTCCCAATAAAGAAGACTTACTACTTTACACCTTGATATTTGAGCCCTCAAAGCCAAACTGTGGCAGGTCTTCAAGAGCAAAATCATTCTCTGCCCTTTTCAGTGGGACAGTGAACAGGGAAGTTCTCTGGGAGATTGTCACTGAAGTCATTATGGAAGAGGGGGGCTTAAGGAGAAAATGACGGTAGCAGGGAACCTTTACAAAAGGATCAACAGCTCAGCCTGGCATCAGGGACTCTGAGTGATGAATAGGCGTTGGGCAGTTAGGAAGCCCAGGCCCTTCCTAACTAGTAGGATTTGGGATGTCAAAGGAAGCCAGGCAGGGCATTTGGGTTTTGCACAGCAGAACGGGAGTGAGGAGGAACACACAGAATCCAAGAAAATGGAACAGGAGCTCCAACAGGTTGGAGCAGAAGATATCCCATAAGCTGTTTGGGAATAGGCTTGGTAGGCACGATCAGTCCAGGAAATTCTTTTCAGTGCCTTCTGAGCCTAGTCTCCATTGGTTAATGGTAGTCTGGCATAATTACATTTAGCCTACTTAAATCCTTCAACACATTATATGTGAATAGGTACTTTGATTAGCATACCCTTTGAATATGCAAGCTTCCAGGTAGATTTGAGAAGTTTTCTATCTTTAGTTTGTATACTCTTCCAGAATGGGATATGTCGGTGGGTGGTGTGGTATCTCCTTTCTTAAATTTGAACTGAGAGAAGATGCTGAATTTAAGCAGAACTAAAAAGCAATCAGAATAAAGAGTCTTGGGGGGTCATTATTTATCTAATCCTGGAAAGAAGAATGATTCTACCTTTGCCCAGACTCAGCCATTTCCGAAAAACCATGCCTGTTTTCTGTTTCTTCTCACACAGATGGAGTTGCCTTTGTGTGGAAATTCCTCTTAGTAATGAGCTCTTGGCCTTCCTATACTTGTTGTCTTACCTCCATTTTGCAGATGGCATCCATCAAACATATTCCCAGATACCCCTCTTTAGGCTTTGGTCTTACTGGACTATTACCCAGAAATGCACACAACCAGAACACACTACTTAGTGAAGGCTACTATCATTTTTTTAACTTCTCCATTTTTTTCTCCACATTGCTCTCACAACCTCGCATTCTAAATGACCATTTTAGCCTGGAGAAAGTTGAGTCCCATTTTAGTTTGGAGAGCTATATCTCTGGAAGATGCTTCATTTTTCTTAGAAAGTTTATTGCCAAACTGGACATCTCTACATTTAGACCCTATAACAACATTGTCTTGACTGTCCTCATGAGTGATCTGAGAGAAGGAATGAATTTGTGGGAATTTTCTGAGGGAAAATGTCATTCTCCTATTAGAAACCCTCATTCTCTAAATGAATAGTCACAGGCTGATTCACTGGTGAGAAGTCAAGAAACAACAAAGGTGGCTGGGAGGGGGTGGATATGCTATTTTTGCAATCTGAGACACCGCCACCCTGCATTTATTATAATCTAAAACAGCAAAGCATAACCTTTCTATGTTTCTGGAGGTGAGATAATCTCACTCCCCTGCCACAGTCTCCTATGGCTCACAACTGTTCTTTCCAGGGGGCCTGAGGTGGGGAAAAGCAAGAGGCTGCATTTGCAGTTGTTAAAGAATAACTTTCTTTTTCTTTTTCTTAAAAATATTCTTACAAAAGCAATGTTCTATTCAGCCTGCCATTATGCTAAAAGCTTTTCCTTGGAAGACAATAGCTGTTCTCAGAAAAAAGATTTACATGGGGTCCCGAGGGTGTAATGAGCTACTGCGGCACCTGCCTTGGGTTGGGAGTTGTCACTTGTAAGTGGTTTTAAATTAGAAAGGAGTGGAAAAATACACAGTTACAGAATTCCCCTTTTGGCTTCTTTGCAAATCATTTTCCACTCTCTCTGGCCTTTGTCTCTTTCTAAGCCTCCTGATCAGGTGTGAAGAACAGAGCTTTCCGTTGGGGAGAGCTGGAAGTGACAACAGTGGTTGGTCCCAGGAAAACAGAAACTCAGGCGAACTGCAAAACTCTCACTCTGGACATTTCTGTTTTTGTACCTCCCAGAGACATGTGGGGACAAGTATCACTATGGGATTACTGAATTTTAGAGCTTAACAATCCATAAAGACTATTGAGTCCTGATTTCTCAATTGCTGGTGAGAGATTGGGCTGAGGGACATAGGGACATGAGCTGGACTATCTAGGTTACCTATCTAGTTGGTGGCAGAGGTAGTTCTAGACCTCAGCCTCTTGTCTCTTGGCAATCTTTTTTTTTTTTCTGGAAAGTGATGCTTTTGACAAATAGTACAGCTAAAAAAAAAATTAACTACAAGAGCATAATGAGTTCTCTCCATGGAAATCTTTAATAAAAGAAGTCAGAGAAACTGAACTGTGCCCTTTTCTTGTCTTGGGATTTCCATCTTTTCAGGCAACCTGGGCTGAAGATATTAGGAACACATAGATAAGTATTATTTAGTCTTTGTCACTGAGGTACTCATAATCTACAGGGTGTGTGTGTGTGTGTGTGTGTGTGTGTGTGTGTGTGTGTGTGTGTGTGTGTGATGTCAAACGGGTCATTATAATACAGAAAGTTTTAACAGGGGTGAAACTAAGTTCAGCGGAAGCACAGAGAAGAGAGGATGTATCTTCATGGTAAAATCAAAGGGGGAGTTTTACCCACCATGGTCACCTGTATAAACTCCACGTGCCTGGTGGTCTTGTATTGACACAGCTTTGCTTTCAAAGAAAGCTCAGTTGGCAATCCAAAAACTATTCTCATGACTCTTTCTTGAGAATACATGAAAAGTAAAATATATAAAACGCATCAAAACCATCTTAAATTTGTTTTTCCTCATTTTTCTCACTGTTGTTGATCTGCCTGCATATCAACAGTGACTCACCATGATCCTACCCTCTTCAGATACAAACCCTCAAGCTGTGTGACATCGAGGATGGTTGAATATCTCCTTTCTGCTTTCCACTTTGGCCTAGTCACTTTAATAATAAGAAGTCAGGAATCCTTCCTCCTTCTAAGGCTGGTTGAAGTGGGTGGGAAAGATTGTAAAACCTTAAAGGTAGTTGAATAGCTTGGCTAACACCCTATCATGTAAATATTTTATTCTTATACAGTTTTACATAATATCATTTGGTTCTTATAATTATCTTATGAATTAAGAAAGACAGTAATTATTACACCTATTTTATGGATGATAAAAATTAGATTCAGTGCCAATGCCATTGATTTACACTTTGAAGTCAAACTTCTATATGCAGAGAAATGGGGGCAATGTCTTTTCAAGTAGAAACATAGCATATGCAGAAGCAAGGAGACCTGGATATGGTGCTTTGAAAATCTCAGGGTGGACAGGTGTGGTGGCTCATGCCTGTAATCCCAGCACTTTGGGAGGCCGAGGTGGGTGGATCATTTGAGGTCAGGAGTTCAAGACCAGCCTAGCCAACATGGTGAAACCCCATCTCTACTAAAAATACAAAAAAATGAGCCGAATGTGGTGGCACGCACCTGTACTCCCAGCTACTTAGGTGGCTGAGGTAGGAGAATTGCTTGATCCCAGGAGGTGGAGGTTACAGTGAGCTGAGATTACACCACTGCACTCCAGCCTGGATGACAGAGTGGGACCCTGTCTCAAAAAAAAAAAAAAAAAAAAAGTAAATAGAAAATCTCAGGGTACAGGACTACAGAATTGTGGAATGAGTATGGGGACAGCAGATAAAATGGGAAAAGTAAGTTGGGCTAAATGATAGGTAGCCTTCTTTTTCATGTTAAAAAGTTTTTATTGAAGGCAATTATGAGCTAATAGGATGTTATTAAAAGCAGAGAAATGACAAGATCAGATTTGTTTTGGAAAGTTTTGTGGCAGTAATGTAGAGGAAAGTTTGGGGTAAGGAGGATAGTGGTGTCATGGAGTCCAGCACAGAGGAACTCTGAAGCATTTACGTCTTAGACTTACTGGGGTTCAAATATTGGCTCTGCCATTTGTTAACTTTATGACCTTGGAAAAGACGATTAAACACTTTGTGTCATGGTTTCCCCACATATAAGTTGTGGATAATAATACTTTTTCATAGAGCAATTTGAAGATTGTAAAGGGCTTAGAAGGGTGTCTCCCACATAGTGAGTGTTCAAGAAATATTATCAGTTGTTGGTCAACTAAGTGGGTGATGAGGTTTCAAAGGAAGATAGGTCTAGGGAAATGGGAGGGAGGGGCCTAAATTTAAGAGATGTGTCTCAGAAGTGAGACATCCTTGGTGACTGGCTGAGAGTAGGTATGAAGGGTAGGGAGTTGAAATATTAATATTTCCACTTTGGTTGGTGGGTGGATAGTTGAATGCCAACAAAGAATATGTGAAAAAGAGTAAGACTGTTGTCGGGGGATAAGAAGTTTGGTTTTGGAAATATACATTTTCAGAGGCCTAAAAATTATTTAAGAACTAAGGCTAAATATAATTATACAGCCAATATGCTATAAAATATACTCTATTTTAGAGAGAAATAAAACAAATTTTATACTACCTAATTTTCTCAATCAGCAAGGATATCAGAGTTAATTCTATACAGTTATTACAGCAGAAACATGTAATATATTTCATCAGAATCAGTCCTAGAACATTCTATTCTACAAATTTGTTCATGTGATATAATGATTTGCATATTTCAAGGTCATTATTTACAAAACAATTACATATGACTAATACCTCACAACAGCCCTGTGAGGTAAGAAAAAAGAAAGAATTGGATGTATTATCTCCATGTTTAGATGATGAAATTGAGACCTGAGAAAGACATATAATAAGTAGGAGGTAGAGCTTGGATTTGAACCAAATCTGAATTCTAAACCCCATAATCGTAACTGTTGTACTGACTGCCTCTTTCAGCTGTGCAATAATGAGGGAAAATCCTTTACCTTCAAGATACAATCACCCATATGTCAGAAGAATTGTTTACACTACAAGTAATATGTTCTAGGCTCCTCCAATGGTCATTTAAACACTAATAACCCTTATAATTTTAGTAAAATCTAAATATTACTGCCTCTACAATACTCTGCATTCCTCTCCCACCCGTATCTAAAATGCTTCATCCCTACTAACCTTCTTTCTACTTATTGAACACAGCAACCTAACCACCTCCACTGGGTCTCTATATCTGCTGTTTCCTCTGTGTCCAACACTTTTTCTCCATAGCTATGCATGGTTGATTTCTCCTTGTCATATAGTATTCATGCTCACGTCAAGGAAGTCTTCCCGGATCATGATATCTAATGTTGTTCCCCTACTCCGAATCTCTTTATCACATGACCTTGCTACTTTTTTTCTTCATTGCCTCTATGACTGAGCTCCATGAAAGCACAGACTATATGTTGTATTTTTTTCTATTGTATGTCTTTGAACTAACACAGTCTCTGCATGAAGCAGGTGCACAAGACATGTTTATTCAACAAGTAAGTGAAATCCCTGAACCTGTTCTTGCTCCTAGCCACCATGTAGGACCTTTAACCTCTCTTGGAAAGTTACCTCTTACCCGGTTATTTCTTGGGTCCCCAAGGGTAGCCACAAATGTGCTCATAAAGCAGCTATTGGCTATGGTCTCCACACCACTTCATTCTTTCCCTGATGCTTGGACTTCTCTTGGTAGTTGTTTGTTTTCCTTGCAGTCTCGAAAAGGACTTTTGCCATTGCTATGTTTTCAGAGAGTTACTGGATTCCATGTAAAGGTAGGGGAATAGCCCTCTCCAAAACTGTGCCACACATCCACACTACCTCAAGTGGTATGAGTCTCCTCACGTTTCTGGTGAAAACAGCTCCATCATCACAGGCTGGATGAGGATGAGATGAACCCCATGCCTCCAAGGTTCAGATGCCTTTCTCTTTCAGGATTCTTATACCCAAGGAATAAAAACACAACCAATGTTTCTCTTTCAGGATCCTTGCACCTAAGGCAGAAAAACACAACCGATTTGTCTTCCATTGTTATTAACACATGTCCTGAGGGCTGGGTAATTAGCAACCTTGTCAGTTCCCCAAACTCAGGATATAAGACGGTGCTAGCCAGGCATGACCATGAGTTTGCTATTAAAATTCCCAATAAAATATGTGGTTTTCATAAAGCAAAACAATACAATTTATTGTTCATGGATATTTACATGTGTAGAGAAGTATAAAACCATGCTGAAGGAAAGCTACCGCCAGATTCAAGATAGTGATTCCATCTGAGGAAGGAGAAAGGGAAAGCGAAATTTAAAGCAGAAAGGGAAAGCAAAATGAAATCTAAATCTCATCTATTGGGGAGTTTGTATTTCTTAAAGAAAAAGAGTTCTAAAGAAAATATGTAAAAATGTTAATGATTTTAAACATGGGTGTCTCATATTATTTTCTGCCTCCAACTATTTTTATATTTCATGTCTAAAATTAAAAAACTAAAAAGTGTCAACATGTCATCCTTGTCTAACAAATGCATAAATTAGAGTTAGAAATGTGAAAATAACTCCATATTCCTCCTATTACTACTCCTCAGACAATTACTGTTAGTAGTTTTAAATTTATCCTTTAATACACAGATGCATGCACACACACATGCACACTCACATACTGACGCATGAATACATATGTACAGAGCCTTGAAATTTAGGTAAAAAGTACTTAAATTGGCCTTCTTGACAATTGAAGTCTGTGACTTCCTTTGGAAATCCAAATCTCTTTCCCATTAATCTGAGACTTGACAGCCTCGCCAGATTCTGTGCTACCACTTTACACTCCCACAAAGTGTAAGAGATTATTTTCTTCCATGGCTCAGTCAACAATTTTATCTGTCTTCTGCATTTTTATACTTAATAGTTTTTAAAATTTTTTTTAATTTAATTTTTTTTATTTTTAATTTTTTGGTGGGTACATAGTAGGTGTATATATTTACGGTGCACATGAAATGTTTTGATACAGGCACACAATGTGAAATAAGCACATCATGGACAATGGGACATCCATCCCCTCAAACATTTATCCTTTGAGTTACAAATAATCTAGTTACATTATTTAAGTTATTTCAAAATATACAATTAAGTTATTATTGACTATAGTCACCCCATTGGGCTATCAAATAGTAGGTCTTAGTCATTCTATTTTCTTGTACCCATTAACCATCTCCACCTCCCCCTGTGACCCTCTACTACCTTCCAAGCCTCTGGTAACCATCCTTCTACTCTTTATCTTCATGAGTTCAATTGATTCGATTTTTAGATCCCACAATTAAGTGAGAACATGCAATATTTGTCTTTCTGTGTCTGGCTTATTTCATGTAACATAATGATCTCCATTTCTATCCATGTTGTTGCAAATGACTGAATCTTATTCTTTTTTATGGCTGAATAATACTCCATTATGTATATGTAACCACGTTTTCTTTATTCATTCATGTGTTGAGGGACACTTAGATTGCTTCCAGATCTTAGCTATTGTAAAAACAGTGCTGCAATGAACATAGGAGTGCAAATATCTCTTTGATATACTGATTTCCTTTCTTTTGAGTATATATCCAGCAGTGGGCTTGCTGGATCATATGGTAGCTCAATTTTTAGTTTTTTGAGGAACTTCCAAACTGTTTTCCATAGTGGTTGTACTAATTTACATTCCCACAACAGTGTGCAAGGATTCCCTTTTCTCCATACTCTCAACAGCATTTGTTATTGCCTGTCTTTTGGATAAAAGCCATTTTAACTGTGGTAAGATGATATCGCATTGTGGTTTTGATTTGCATTTATCTGATGATCACTGATGTTGAGCACCTTTTCATGTACCTGTTTGCCATTTGTATGTCTTCTTTTGAGAAATGTCTATTTAAATCTTTTGCCCATTTTTTGATCGGATCATTCAATTTTTTCCTATAGAGTTGTTTAAGCTCTTTATATCTTCTGGCTATTAATTCTTTGTCAGAGGGGAGTTTTAAAAAATCTTAACTCTCTTGCCCCCCTCCAAAAAGAACTCACCATTTTAGTGTTATTCTAATTTGTATTTTTGGGGGCGTGACTCAGGTGGTCCATATTTTAAAATGTTTGTGATTTTCATTTCTTCCTTTTAAATTGTTTATTTTTAAAATCATTTGTCTGGTTTGTCTATTATGTTAGATGATTTGTTCTATAAATGATTTATGAGGAACTCTTTGAATATTAGGAATATTCCTCTGTGTTAAACATGGATTCATTCATTTAGCAAAGATTTATTGATTATTGATCATTTTACTAAATATGGGAACATTTTCTCCCTGTCACCTCTTTTTAAATTTGTTAGTTTTTTTTTGCTTAATTTTCATGGAATCTAATATAGTAGTCTATTTTTTACACTTGTAAGCATAATGTGTTAGGAAAAAGTTTCCCTTTTTACAGATGATGGAAGTAAGACCTAGGGAATAAAAGTGATGTGCCTGGTTGCATAGCTATTAAATATGGAGTGAGAAATCAGAATTTAGGTCTTCTCTCAGCAGCATAGGGTGGCGTGTGCCTGTAGTCCCAACCATTTGAGAGGCTGAGGTGGGAGAATCACTTGGGCCTAGGAGTTTGAGTCTAGTCTGGACAGTATAGTGAGACCCTGTCTTAAAAAAAAAATTAGGTCTTCTCTAATCAGACAAACAGTTTTGTTTTTAGTATCTTATAAAATAATTTATATAACATATAGACCTAGATTAAAGAACAATAATAAAATGGACATCTATGTATACACAATCCAATTTAAGAAATATGACATTTACCTATATTTTAGTCCCCATAACAATTTGCTCAATGGCTTTCACTCATACTACCTCAGAGTAACTACCATCCTGAATTCTGTGCTAAATGGTCTTTTGCTATTCTTTATACTTTTAAATCACATATTTATATATCTCTGACCATCTACTATTGAGTTTGCCTGTTTGGGACTTTACATAAACAGAAACATTATATAATTCTATTTATAATTGCTTATCTTATTAAACATATTTTAAAGATTAAACTATGTTAACATGTTTGAGTTGGCATCTGAGTTACTCATTTTTCATTGCTCTATAACGAATTCCTATGTATGAATTTAGGTCAGTTTCTCCCCTAGAATTCATGAGTTGAAACCCTAATCCCCAATGTGATTGTATTTGAAGTAAGGAAGTAATTAAGGTTAAACAAGATCATATGGGTGGGGCCCTGATGATACTAGTGTTCTTATAAGAAGAGACACAAGAGAGATTACTCCCTTTCTCTCTGCCATGTGAGGACACTGAGAGAAGATGTGGCCATCTACAAGCCAGGAAGAGAGCCCTCTTCAGAACCTGACCTTGTTGGCACTCTGCTATCAGACTTCCAGCCTCCAAAACCGTTAAAATAAATTTCTGTTGTTTAAGCCACCCAGTCTATAATATTTCTTCTAGGTATTTTATGGTTTTAGGTCTTACATTTATGTTTTAAATTCACTTTGAGTTGATTTTTGTATATGGTGTAAGATAAGGGATTGATTTCATTCTTCTGCATCTGTATATTTAGTTTTCTCAACAACATATATAAGAGACTGTCCTTTCCCCATTGTGTACTCTTGACACCTGCATCAAAGATCAATTGACCACATATGCATGGATTTATTTCTGGCTCCTTATTCTGTTCCATTGGTCTGTAAGTTCGTTTTTATGATAGTACCATGTGGAGTTGGTTACTACAGCTTTGTAGTATATTTTAAAATCAGGTATTGTGATGTCTCCAGCTTTGTTCTTTATTTTTCTCAAGATTGCTTTGGCTATTTGGGATCTTTGGTGGTTTCATATGAATTTTAGAATTGTTTTATCTATTTCTGTGAAAAGTATCATTGGAATTTTGATAGAGATTGAATTGGGTCTGTAGATTGCTTTGGATAGTATGGCAATTTTAACAATATTATTTCAACCCATGAACATGGTATACCTTTCCATTTATATGTGTCTTCTTCAATTTATTTTTCAATGTTTTATAGTTTTTAGTGTGGAGCTCTTTCACCTCCTTGGTTAAATTTATTCCTAAGTTTTATTTTTATGTTATTGTAAATGAGATTTTTTAAATTTCCTTTCAAATAGTTTGTTGTCAGTGTATAGAAACACTGCTGATTTTTGTATGTTAAATTTGCATTCTGCAACTTACCAAATTTATTAGTTGTAGCAGTTTTTGTGTGAAAGTCTTTAGAGTTTTCTACATATAAGATTATGTCATCTACAAACAGAAAAATTTTTACTTCTTTCTTTCCAATTAGGATGCCTTTTATTTCTTTTTCTTGCCTAATTGGTCTGGCTAGGACCACTAGTACTATATCGAATAGAAGTGGTGAGAGTAGGCATCCTTGTCTTACTCCTGATCTTAGAGGAAAAGCTTTCAGCTTTTTGTCTTTGAGTATGTATTTAGCTGTGGGCTTGTCATATTTGGCCTTTATCATGTTGCAGTAAGTTTCTTCTATAACTAATTTATTGAGAGTTGTTTTTATCATGAAAGGATATTGAATTTTATGGCATTTTATGCATCTGTTTTAATGACCATATGATTTTTATCCTTCATTTTGTTAATGTTGTGTATCACAATAATAACATTTATTGTTCATGTTTTGTAACACATTTGTACATGTTGAACATCCTTGCAGCCTAGAGATAAATCCCCCTTGATCATGGTGTATGATGTTTTAATGTGCTCTCAAATTTTGTTTGCTAGTATTCCATTGGCAATTTTTGTATCTATGTTTATCAAATATATTGGCCTATAATTTTCTTTTCTTATAATATCCCTGTCTAGCTTCAGTCATAGAGTAAAGCTGGCCTTGAAAAATTAGCTTGTAAATGTTCCCTTGTCTTCAATTTTTTGGGAGAGTTAGAGAAGGACTGGAGTTAATTCTTTAAATACTTGGTAGAATTTACCAGCGAAGCCATCAGATCCTGAGCTTTTCTTTGTTGGGAGTTTTTTGATTACAGATTCAATCTCCTTACTTGTTATTGGTCTTCTGTTAATATTTTCTGTTTCTTCATGATTCAGTCTTGGTAGGTTTATGTTTCTAGGAATTTATTCATTTCTTTGGGTTGTCTAATATGTTGCCACAGAATTGTTCATAGTAGTCGCTTATGATCCTTTGTATTTCTGTGGTATCAGTTGTAATGCCTCTTGTTTAAAATTTTATTTAAACCTCCTCTCTTTTTCTCTTACTTAGTTTGGCTAAAGGTTTGTCAATTTTGTTTATTTTTTTGAAAAAGCAACTCTTAATTTCATTGATCCAAAGATTCTTGGTGGGCGTTTGGCATGATCCACAGGCAGGCTTCCTGTTGGAGTCCTTGGGCAGGTGGCTAGTTCCAGGGTCAGCAGGTGAGTGGGTCTGTGCCTGGATTCACTGAGGGGAGCCTAAAGCTGGGATCTGCTGGGGGTGGCCCTGAATCTTAGTTCTCCAAGGGTCAGCCTGGTGCAGGGGGCCCCTGGGGTGGACCTGTTCACTGGATCTCAGGGGACTGGCTTGGAGCCTGTGTTCGCAGGGGCTGAACGAGCACCTCTACTGAGGCAGGGTTGGACCATGGGTCCACTGAGGCATGGAGCCGTGGGGGCCAGCCTAGAGCCTGGGGCCACAGAAGCTGGCCTGGCAAAAGCATTTCTATTTGCCTCTGTTAGTCAACTGAGAGTGCTAGCAAACTGGGATGACCATATTCTCTACTATGGATTTTTGGGATCACATATGGATCATAAATTCAAACGTATGTGAGGATTTGCTTATCATTATAAATTCCTAGGGAAAATTTGACATAAAAAGCTGTTCCTGCTCTCCCGTTCTGTGAATTAAGAGTAAAGACCTTTGGACACTTAGCTTTATGCAGGGATTTCCTACTGGATGCCCTGCCGTGGGTGGGCCCCGCGCTTCACTCCTGGTTCCCTGCGTCCCTTGCAGCCCTCAGAACAGAAGCTCAAGGTCTCCAAGGCTCAGTTGAAACCTTCAGGGGGAGAGACAGGCTTCGACGCTTGCTTATTTTCCAAGTTGTGTTTTTGGTTTCCCTTTGTTCTTGGCACTTACAGATTTATTCTTTCAGACCAATTCAGCAATGCATCAAAAATGACTTTTGAAAAGAAATTCAACATTTTTGTTGTTTCCTTTGGCAGGTTGTTCAGAATAGTTAGTCTATTATTCTGCAAAAAATGGAAGTTCTTACCCCCTTGATCTTTCTACTTTACATGCTACTTTCTTCCATTAGAAAGAAAAATGAAAGTCTATTTTTTGTTTGCTATAATGGATAATATGAATTTGAAGGTCTGTTTGTAATTTGAAATAGCATATCTGCTATTCTACGTTTAGAATTGACATTATTCCTGCTGAAAAGAATACGCTTTCTTTTATGGTTCTTGGAATTTTTTTTTCCTTAGCAGATAGTAAGAATTTTAGTGAAGAAATATTTTGGAGTTCCTGAATTAAGATTCCAACCAAAACCCGGGTTTTCTCCGGGGCTTCCTATTTTTTTTCTTTTTTTTGACATCACGAATATCAACAGAAGAGTGTGATTTTTATTTTTTCCGCTTGTAAGATGACTAATTTACCCAGAGGCACCTCATGTGTGTTTTTAGTCACCTGTATCCAACATCAACACCAGAAAGCTCAAAAAGACAAGTTATTCGATATACCACACCCAGCTGTTCTGATCTGTGAGGCTTGCTTGAGGTACCTTCAGCTGCGGAAGGAGCTTGTTCCCTTGCAGCTGGTGGAAATTCTCTCAGTCCCAAGATGGAACTTCTAAATTGTAACTTACAGGGCGGGTGTAATTACAGTAATTGGGACAGTGAATAATTCTCAGCATAGCTGATCGATGTTCCCATGCTCTCAAAAATCAGGATAGAGTGATGTAGTAGAACCCAGATATGAATCCTAGCTATTTTTTCACAATGAATGTTCATGACCTAGTGGGAGTCTTCATTTCTCTGTTAGAGTAAGTGATGAGTGATTATGGCCACAGGGACATCCCCTCACCCCAAAACAAAACTTACAGTCACATTCAAGCCAGATTACAGAATGCTGAGATTGTATTGTACTACCACTTCTTTCTTCTTGAAAGCAGGGATTGGATTCAGTAGAGGAAAACCGATGTGAATGATGTGGCAATTTCCAATTTGTTGGTGGTGTTTTCCTACTGCCATTCGCCCAGGCAAAGTTGTAGAAAGGAAGTTGTTTGGCCAGACAGGAGATTGTCAATAGCAGCCTCTCGAGGCGGTAGCTGGGAGCTCACTTCACTGATTCCCTTCACAAGAGAGATTTGGAAACACAGGTTATGAGCTGAGTCACTGGGCAAATTAACTGCCCCAAATGTGATAATTAAAATGTATGTCCATGAGCCACCTTGGTAATGATCAAGTGATCAAGTTCTCCCCTTAAGCAACTGTGCGCATTGTTGCCTTTCCTGGTAACAGATGATCGCATTAAGAGCTTGCATGCTGCAGCTCAGAGGGAATTGGTGTTACCCCAGTGTCCTATGTGTATCTTCCCTGCAGCTGATTTTCTGTGGCTCATTGAGCAACGAGTCCAGGTGGCAGCTGTGGATTTTGACATCCCAGAATTTTACAGGGCAAGGGCATTCTCAACATGTAGTGATGCACATCCCGTTAGGAAGTGGCTATTCATGAAACTGACAGGGTAAAGCCCTAATTAGAAAGACCAGCAGGGCTCTCTGTACCCCAGGATGCTTCAACAGAGCTGTCACTGTCTCCCCTCAGGCAGGATCATTGGGCTGAAACACTGAGCAAAAAACATTTTGTTCAATGTTCAACAAAAATAACTCCCATCATTAGCAACATGACAAGTGAAAGGACCTGCATGTCAAAAGAAAAGGATTTATGCGTCGTTGTAAATAATGAGTGATTCTAAAAACTTTAAGCTGCTGGGGAAGCAGCTTTCAGCTTCTGGAAGGTGCTGTTGGAAACCCATAGAGTCAAATGGGTATGCTTCTCTGGTTTTCAGCAGATGGAAGCTTAATTTGAGGTTTTGGGAACACTTTAGTCATGGTAAGAAGTGGGGGACACCTGAATTTGAATCATGGATTATCTCAATATTTTGCAGGACTTATTTCTTTGAGGTCGATTTTCTTGGTCTTTAAAATGGAGGGTTGTAAGTGACTATCTTCTTTGTTTAGGTATATAATGTAGTCTTGTTTATTCAGATTCTGAACTCTTTAGAAAAAAAACAAAGAATTCCCACATACCAAATTGCAGTCTAAGCACACTTACGCAAACAACATTTATTCCTTATGATTAAAAAGAAATGTAGCCAGAGGGTATGGCAGTTTCTTAAGTTGTTATGAAAAGCAAGAATCCTTATCTTAATTTCTTTTCAATCAATAACAATTTCTAATTCACAAGGAAAAGGAAAGCGAAATAGAAACTGTCTTCCTTTGAAGGAAGCTGTGATGTAATGATTTGCTGGGCAACTTACATAGTTTAATTAAGCACTCTGATTAAATCAATATGTATCCAACAGTTCAGCCTGGCAATCAGCTTAATCTCATTAACTGTTGTTCAGACCCCAATAATTGATTAATAATACATTATCATTTATGAATTATTGACTTCAAGTTATTATAATTGTCCTGCTTTGTTCATAGCACCTGCTGCCACATGTTAATTATGAAATGCTCAAGCACTTTCTTGGAATAACTTTAGAGATAAAGCTGATGGGGTTTTTAATGAACCAAGATTATCTTTAGTTCAGAGCTGGTCAGAAGAGCTAGGCTTTTTCAACCCTGTATTGTTCATTAAGTGGGAGCAGGCATTTAGCATTTTTAGAGCTGAGGCTCAAATAATTAGAGACAGGGTTGGAAGGCACCCACACACAAGTTAGATGATGAGCCCTACTAAATGAGATGGGTGATATCAGAATCATAAACGCCTAGATCCTTACTGCCACAGGATTCTGCTTATTGAGGCTATCTGAATATATATTAAATAGGTATCATTCCTGCTCTCCCTCCTGGTGCTTATAGTCTATCTTTGAGGTTTGGATATGCCCAAGGGTATTTTAGGAGAAGGAACTGACCTCTCCTGGGTATAGGTGGGATGGGTAGGAGCTATTCATGGAAATGGCCTCCCACTCTGAGAGAGGCCTTTGGCCAAACAAGAGGAGTTACCACACCTAAACCAGGATAGCCTGTTGCATGCTACTTCATTTGCCTAGTTCTGTTTAGTTATTTTTTCTGGCTAGTAAGATCTTCCTTTAGAGTGCCAGCCTGGTCTATGCTGGGGGAGTCAAGACAGGAGCTGGGAATGAATTCACATTAAAAAAGGGCATGGTGTCCCCATGGCCAGCCTGGTTTTGGCAGCACAGTGAATTCTTGCTTGATATCCAAAAGAAGGATGAAATTTAAGGAGCAGGAACCAACTGGAGAAATTCTATGGCCCCTTCCTCTATGGTGGGTCTCTTTGCACAGACATTTCTGTAGGACCTGGGCTTAATTTTATTGAAGACACCCTGGGAGGCATCATTATCACCACCTCTGGTTCTTAGCCCAAGAGGAACCCTTCACTCAGGAATGAATTGGAGCTCCCGCTTGTAACAGTGACTGGCTTTCCTGAGACATTGCTTCCCCAGTAGGAAGTCCCTTTAATCCTGAGCACCTCACTCAGAAACCAGCCGTGTAGGAAGTGAGATTTAATCTTCAAGCTCCATCTTTTCTCGTTGTGAATTCCATAAAAAGCCATGTTTTCAAGGGCATGTTTTCCAGGAAATAAGGCATTTTGATAGAGTTGTAAAACATGGGCTTGTCATCAGACTTGGATTGGAAATCTCGATTTTCTGAATTTTGGAAAGTGGCTTAAACTGTCTAAGCTTCGGGTTCCTTATCTGTAAATAGGGATAATATTCCCACCTTCCTAAGGTTGTGGTGAGGATTAATGAGGTAAGGTATGTTTTCCTAACACAGCGTAAAGAGAGGGTGCTTGTTAAATACTCATACCCATAATCTTTCACTCCATCCTCCTTGTTCATTGCAAGCTGAAATGTAATTGCCCATTTTATACAATGCCATTTTAATACCCAGGGTAACCCGAAAGCCTTTCTAATGGTGAAACTCAAATGGATAGGCAAGCTACTGAAATGTAATGTCAAGAGTTATAGCTCAGGTGTAGGTATTGGAGTCACTCTTATCTGCACTCACATTTGGGCTTTCTCTCAGAGTAGCTAGGTAGACTTCTAAAGGTATTGACTGTTGGGCAACCTAGTTAAGCCTCAGTTTCATCATCTGTAAAATGAAATACCTGTAGTATTTTCACATATGACTATGGTAAAGCTTAAAAAATTCGTGGGGCCGGGCGCAGTGGCTCACACTGGTAATCCCAGCACTTTGGAGGCCAAGGCAGGCGGATCACGAGGTTAGGAGTTGGAGACCAGCCTGACCAACATGGTGAAACCCCGTCTCTACTAATAATACAAAAAAAAACTAGCCGAGTGAGGTGGTGCGCGCCTGTAGTCCCAGCTACTTGGGAGGCTGAGGCAGAAGAATTACTTGAACCCGAGAGGCAGAGGTTGCAGTGAGCTGAGATCACACCACCGCACTCCAGCCTGGGTGACAGAGTGAGACTTTTTCTCAAAAAAAAAAAAAAAAAAGTATATGTAAAACACAGTGCTAGGCACACAGTAGATGCTCAATAAAATATTAGTCCTCTACCTTCCTTTTATTTCACACGGGAATACTATAGCTAGCATTTAACTCCAAAGTGGCACTGGTCAAAGGGAAGGATATAGCCTTTCCCATCTGTAGTTTCAGAAAATACCAGAGGGGAGGAAATAGCAAGCATTACAAAACATCCTGCTTCAGCCTAAAGCTCTCAGGAAAAAACCTTATCTATATTTAGTACAACAAGTTAGAGACAGCTTTCAGCAAAGACTAAAGCACTATCTCATTCATTTTATTCAAATGAATCCAAATGTATCTAATTTTTGCTTTGGCAAATGAATTTCCTTCTATCCCTCACCTATTTCTTTATTCCTAGCTTGTCTACTAAAGATAGACCCATGAAGGATGCCTAACAGGGTCCCATGACAGTAGTGTAAAAGGTTTAGAGGAAGTTACAGGGGAGAAGTGTCCTATCTTAATGACTGAAACTCTGTTTCCGAGTTGAAATAAATCCCAACTCATCTTGGAGTGAAAGGCTCTTCCAGAGGCCCCAAATGATTCCTTAGAACTTTGAGCTGTGCTTGATTCATTTTTTCTTGTATTCCTCCTCTTTCTCTCCTACACGGCTTATACTAAAGAACCACACCCACTCATGCCGTGGGTGGACAGGAACAAGCCATCAAACGCAGGAGTGAACGGAGTGGGTTTGGAAGCCTGACGGCCCTGGCTCTCATGCCTGCTCTACCCCTCGGTAATTTGAACATCTGTCTCCTCCTCTGAGAAACCCAGAGGTCAGTCATTGTGGAGGTGACCCCACTTCAGAGGATTCAGCAATCAGTGGGTCCCTTGACTTTCTGCAGGCCACCGAAATAATGCTCTTCCTGTCTGACTAGATTTTATCTGTGAGGTGGAGGAGCAAATTCATGGTAAGGGAAAAATGGGTCAGAGGGTCTGAAGATGACAAGACCACATTTTCCATCTTACCCTAACTGTTGTCTTCCTCAGCTGTGCTGATAGCACTCGTCTGAGCTCTGCTGTGTGAATCTCCAGTGATTTGGCCAAGTCACTGTGTGTCCTCCTTTCTGATCTCAGTTGAGCACTCGGTCTTGATCCTTGACTTCCTGTTTTTCCCTCAGAGCAGGAGACTGAATCCTGCCAGGCTGAGGCAGTCCTGTGAGAAGCAGTGCTCTTGTGTAGGATGATTGTGGAAGCTTGAACTGGGACTTTCAGGGCTATGAGCCGTCCTGTGAACAAACAGAAGACTTCAGTTTCCATGGCCGCCAGTCTAGCATTATCCCCTCTTGCCATATTCCTTCACAGCATTTATAAACATGCAATTTGGTATTTCCTGCCTCTCATCTGTTTCCGGCTTCTTCCTCTCCATCCTTTCTTCCAAAGGGATTTGCATAAAGGCAGTCTATCAATACTGTTCTTAAAGGAAGTGTCCACAAAACACTTTGAATCAACCTAGTTTCTAGCTCATCTGTTTCCATAGCAACCAATCATGATGTCACAAACAGAGGGGGATGACTTGAGGTGGGAATTAGGTGGCAAGAGAGCAGATGGGCTTTTGTAAAGAAAGAAAAGGAAAACAATATCCTATCCGCACAGAGATTTCCTTGGTAATAAAGAGCAAGGGAGAGATAAATAAAGAAGCAATGAGAGAAAGGAAGAATCCTTTCCAAACAGCACTGGAGAAATTAGGAGTGAAAATTAGCAACACTTGCGAGCAATGTTTGTTTCCTTTCAGGCAGTATGAATGATGAATCGGCACCACTCCCTTGGGGTGATGAACACCATGCACAATGAGGAAATAAAACTTTGAGAGGCGAAAGAATTTGCCAGGGCTGTGAAGCAAGTCACAGACTAGCTTTGGGAGGAGGATTGAGTCGATATTAATGATGAAATAGAGCAGGGATTGACAAACTTTTTCTGTAAAGGGCCAGATAGTAAATATTTTAGACTTTTTGTGCCAGAAGATCTCTTTTTCAACTACTGAGCTCTGACTTTGTCACACAAAAGCAGACATAGACAATAAATAAACAAATGGGTATAGTTGTGTTCCAATAAAGATTTATTTATAAAATAGGAATGGGCCAGATGTGGCCCATGAAATTCTTGAAGTGGAAGACTATAGAATATAAGTTTCATATTTAAATGGAAAGGTCCTTGATAGTTGTATGGACACCAGATGCACTCCTGAGACTTCTGGACCAAGTATTATAGTGTCATGAGTAAAAAGAATAGGTGGGTACTGAGTCCAAGCTTCTTCATTTATTCAACAAACTTGATTGTGAATCTGCTTCATGAAATATTCTGGGCATTGGGAATACAGCAGTGCATGAATGTCTGTCATCAAAAGTTTTATGTCCTAATTAGCTGGACAGCTTGGGCAAACCATTTACCCAAAGTCAGCCCCAGCTTTCTCTTGTGGGGATGTAATTTTTTAAAATCATGAGTCATATTACATATACAAAACAATTTATGTAGAACATAAACATAAAATAAATACCTATTTGCCCACTATCCATGTTAACATAAAGTAGAACATTGCCACTAGTGTGTCTCTCCCAGGTCTCATTATCCTTCTCTTCTCTTCAGAATATTTTGTTATTTTCTTTTCTGTCTGTTTTTTGATTTAATCATATAAATATTTCATAAAAAAAACTTAATTTTGCCTCTGATGTTTTAAATTATTTGAGCCATAATGTAGTACTATCCTTTGACATATATCTTTTACTCAATGTTTTTTTTTTTCCCATTCATCCACACAGACGTGTGTAGCTATTAATAAAGCCTGGGTCCAAAGACCACTAGAGCCAGATGTGTAGTCAAACAATGTTAGAGTTATTAACTGGCTGCAGCAATAGAGAATAGAGAATCACTGAGCCTTTCAAAGGGGAGTTATGGGAGGGTATTTATAAGATTTGAAGGGTAGAGTTGATCATAGATTTTTTTTTTTTTTTTTTTTTTTTTGGCAGGGATTGGTCAGGATTTGTAAGCCAGAGAGTTGCTGGAATTGTCAATGGGTTTATCTTTAGAATGCATGAATCCATGTAAAGGTCTGTTTGTGGTTTTCTGTTAGGATATATGGATCTGAATGAAGTGTTATTATTATATGGTCTGTGATGTACATTGTAGCTGAGTTGGCCATAGTTTATTTTTCTTGTGAGTCTGGGTGAATTTTATATATGTTGATTAAATGATCAGTTTTCCCCGTACAGTCTTGCTACCAGCAAGGACATTAAAACAAACAACAAAGAAACAATTTAACTTTACCACTATAGTTTTTCTTCATTGCTATATAATATTCCATTATATGAACAGACTGACATTTACTTATCCAATCTACTTTTGATAACATCCGAGTTGTTCCTGAATATTTGCTGTTACAAGGGATGCTGCTATGATGTGGTTCAAAGTCTCTCCTAACCGAGTATATACTTAGAAGGGAATCATAGTATCTAGGAGCAGGCAGATGTTTAACTTTACTAGGGAATACTGCACTGGTTTCTGAAGTCATTACACAGAGTTAACTTCCTGCCAGTTGTGAATGAGAGTTGCTCTACATCCTGGCTAACTTTCTGATTTTTGCCAGTCCAATGAGTATGTGATGGTATCTCATTGTAGTTTTAATTGGCATTTTTTTGATAATAAATAAGGTTGAACATTTTCTCAAATATTTCTTTAGCCCTTTGGATTTCCTCTTTTGTGATGTTTCTGTTCATCCTCTCCTCCCTCCCCCCACATTTTGCTATTGGTTTGTCTTTCTCTCACATTATATATGGAATCCTTCTGGCCACTGAGGTGTAATACCAATTCTGACGTAAATCATGTTTTTATAGACGTGGGTCTGTTTCTGTTATTTTAGTTCTGATTTGTGTTTTATTTGCCCATCTCTGCACTCATATGTTACTAGCTTTATGTCACTTTAAATAAATTCTGATACCTCGTGGGGAAGTCTTGTAGTCTTGTACTTTGTTTTGCCTCTTTGGTAGTTTTTTTTTTTTTTTTTTTTTTTTTTTTTTTTTTTTGAGATGGACTCTTTGTCACCCAGGCTGAATGCAATGGCACGATCTTGGTTCACTGCCACCTTCGCCTCCTGGGTTCAAGTGATTCTCCTGCCTCAGCCTCCCGAGTAGCTGGGATTACAGGCACCCGCCACCACATCTGGCTAATTTTTGTGTTTTTAGTAGAGACAGGGTTTCACCACATTGGTCAGGCTGGTCTCAAACTCCTGACCTCAGGTGATCCGCCTGCCTTGGCCTCCCAAAGTGCTGGGATTGCAGGCATGAGCCACTGCACCCGGCCTCTTTGGTAGTATTTTAACTATTCTTGGCCTCTTTCACTTCTAAATAAATTTTGGTATCAGCTTGTCTACTTTTAAAACAAAAATATAAAATGTCTATTGAGATTTTTCATTGAGATTTTATTGAAATGATATTCCTATCGGGAAAAAAGGACATTCCTATGATATCTAATGCTCCTCTCCAAGGTTTTGAGAACATGTTATTTCACCATTAAGTAAGATTCTACAATTGGTTTCATAAAATTTTATTTTTTTTTTGTATAAAGAGCTTGCTTTCACATCATATTTTTATTGGATAATTTATATACTTGTGGCTATTACAAATAATATATTCTTTAATAATTTCTTTTAAAAATGATTCCTACTGGTATAGAAAAATGTGATGGATTTTTCTATATTTGTTTTGTATTTTAAAATGATATACTTTTAAAATTTAAATAATTTTTGCAAAACTTTAGAATTTTTTATGCCGATATATCATTTGAAACTGACAAGTTTTTTTTTCCCCTTTGCTTCTGTTATATTCTTTATTTTCTCTTTTTTATGATTCAGAACAATGCTTATTATATGCGGTGATAGTGAGTATTTTTGTATTGTTTCTGATCTTCAAAGAAATGCTCTTAACGTCTTACTATTAAGTATGACATTTACTGAAGGTGTGTGTGTGCGTGTGTGTGTGTGTGTGTGTGTATTCATTTATGAGGTTAAGGATGTGTCTTTCTATTCCCCACTTGCTATAAGATTTTTAACATGAATGGATGTTGAATTTTATTACATGCTTCTTCCCACATCTATTATAATTATCAGATAGTTTTTCTCCTTTAATCTGCTATTGAGATAATCACATGAATTGATTTTATAGTGTTAAACTGTGCATGCAGTTCTGGAATAAATCCATTTGTCATCATATATTATCTTTTTTATACATTGCTTGATTAAATTTGCTTTTACTTTGTTTAGGATTTGCATATATATTCAAGGTGGTGAGAGGCTTGTAATTTTCTTTCTTTTGTGTCTTTGTCTCCTTTTGGTATCAAGGTTGTGCTTATCCCTTAAAATTAAGTGACATAATACTCTTTTATTTTTAAATTCTCTGAAGAGTGTGTGTAACATTAATAACATTAGAATGAGCTCTTCCTTGTATGTTTGGGAGAATTTGCCTCTATAGTTCTGGTGCTTTCTTGTGAGAACTTTTTAACCTGTTAATTAAAATTCATGATTGATTAAATAATATTTTCTGGTTTTCTTATTTATTTTTGAAACAAGTTTGACAAGTTGTCCTTATTTTTTCTGTAATGTTTCTATTTAATCTGACTTTTAACCTTGACTGTAAGCTGTTCAAGTTCTTCCGCTTGTGTAATTATGTCCTTATTTTCTTTCTTAATGTTGTTTATTCATACCTTATTCTTTTCTGATATAAAAATTTCAGAGAGGCCGGGTGCAGTGGCTTATGCCTGTAATCCCAGCACTTTGGGAGGCTGAGGCAGGTGGATCACCAGAGGTCAGGGGTTCGAGACCAGGCTGACCGACATGGCAAAAACCCGTCTATATTAAAAATACAAAAAAAAAAAAATTAGTTGAGCATGGTGGCGGATGCCTGTAATCCCAGATACTTGGGAGGCTGAGTCAGGAGAATTGCTTGAACTTAGGAGGTGAAGCCTGCAGTTAGCTAAAAGTGCACCACTGCACTCCAGCCTGGGCAATGAAGTGAGACTCTGTCTCAAAAAAAAAAAATAGAATTTATTTTCCTTTAAATGCCACTTTATCTCTATACCACTGGCTTTTCTATGTGATATTTTCATTTTCTGTCAGTACTAATTTTTTTTATTGTTACTTTTTTTAACCCATGAATTATTCAATACTTTCTTTAAAATTTTCAAATATGTGAAGTTTTTCAAGTATGTTCTGGTTATCTATTTAATGTTGATTGTAAATTAATTTTATTGTAAGCAGAGAATGTTATCTGCCTGTTACCCATCCTTTGATAATTGTTAAGGCTATCTTTATGGCTTAGTGTATAGCTAATTTTTGTAACTATCTCGTGTGCATGAAAGGAATGTGTACTTTCCAGCTATTGGGTGCATTGTTCTGTATAGCCGATTTAGGTGAAACATGTTTGTCTGTGCTATTTGAATCTTATATATCTTTATTAACTTCTTTTTTTGACTGCTTAATCTGTCTGTTTGAGAGAATTGTGTTAAATCTTCCACTACAACAAGAGATTTGATATTTTTTTCTTGTTAACAGTTTTTCTTTACCTATTTTGAGACTATGATGTTAGGTGCGTATAAATTTAGAATTATTATACTGTATTTTTCTAATTAATTGTAACATTGATCATTATGTAGTGATTTTCTTTACCTTAAATGCCTTAAAGGGCACTTTGATATTAATATTTATGCTTTAAATTTTGAGGGGACCAATACATGAAATTTGAGGGGACCTGGTAAATCTATTTCCAATTAGATTATGTCTTTGGAGGTTTATTTTTAATGTCGGTTTTTTCAGCTAGTTTTTATTTGTAATATCGCATTACTAGTATGCTTTATGAATATTGATTGTAAGGTGACTATTTATTTGGAACTGCATCTGGGGGAACACTTTATAATGGGTTAAGTTATATTCCTGAGAGAATTTCTTCTGCTAGTCACCCAGCAGCATGCTCAACACAAGTCCAGATGAAGTTAAATTATTTACTTCATGACTATCAAACTACATTAGTAGTGTGCATTTGTACTGAAAACCAGCTTGGGGATATACATGGATACTTTCCCAGAGTAGCACTGGAGCCAAGTGCAGTAATTTTTCTTGCCACTCCCTTTGCAAAAGTGTTTTGTTTCTGGTTCACTTTTGTATTACGTTTGTGGCTTTTTTGAGTACCAGCTTTTTGCAGTGGTCTATTAAATTTTCCACTGTGGACAAGCTTTGGGCTGTTTCTCCTATTTCCTGGGATCTGTGGAGTTGTCAAACCAAAACTCAAAATCTCTAGGGGTTGGCAGGAAACTCTCAGGTTCAAAGATGACTTCAATAGTCACTTATTCCCCAAATTTTTGGTTTTACTTTACTTTGGAGCATAGCACATTTTCTTTCTTAGGCCAGCATAGTGATTTTTTTTTTTTGTATTTTATTGAACATTTCAGTTGGTTCTGTGGGAAGGTTGAATGAGGGCACCTCATCCACCATGTTGCTAGAAGTGGAAGAGTCTATTTAATGAATATTTTTCATATCTTATTCTTAGGGTGGCTGTGGGGATCAGGAAAATAATATATGACAAATAAAGTACTTGGCTTTTCCATAATTATGTAAATAACCAAATAACATTACCAATTGAGGCAAAACATGTCAGGGAGAGTCATATTTTGAAAAAAAAAAATCAACTAACTTCATTCTAAGGTGGCTGTGTAAGCCTCAGTATTGTGCATTGTCATGTTAAATAACTAAATATAAATGGTCCATCCACTATCAGGAGAAATAATCATTTCATTGACAGATTATGTTAAGGGCAATTTGACTAGAGACAAGGGCATTGAAAGTTAAATAACTGCCAGTGCAAAATCCTGCTTGCCCTTTGGTGCTAAATGTGGTTTAAGTGGTCTTAGGGTTTAAATGTGATGCTCCTCATATTCAGGTATAGACAATCTAAAAAGAATAATTCCTCTGACTCTACCTTGCTTGACCATCTGTATACTCAACACTGTCAGTGTGACTTCTGAAACTATCCTTTTACCCTACTAAGGTCATGGACCATTGGTGCTCAGTTTTGCACAGTATTTTGCAAACTTAATGGACTTACCACTACTGACCTCTCTTCATGGTGTCTTTCCTTTTCTCTGTGCAGTCTGGCATGACTTGCTTTTTGGAAAGGATGTAATTTACCAAGTATTAACCTGTATGTTGAGCTGCTGTATATCCCAGAACCCCAGTTAATGGATGGTGATGTGCACAGAGAAGACTGTCAATAATTTCTGCAGTGAAATGCTTCATGTGCTATAAGAAAAAATAGAGTCATAAGCATGTCTCATTCAGCCATTTATTTGCTAATTTAAAAATTACTTTAATTTAGTGTCAGGCACTGGGCTAGATACTAGGGGTAGAGTGATGACTAAGATAGTCCTCATCCTTAAAGAATTAATGATTTTCTTAGGAGGAAATATACAAACAAATAGAATGTGTAAGTGTTGTAAGCACTATGATAGAAGCAAATTAGAGATGAAGTATAAAGAAGGGAGCTTAAAACTCTACCCGGGAATGAATGGAGGAAGTCAGATAAGACTTAAAAGAGCAAATGATGCCAGCACTAAGGGATGGAAGCTGTAGGGGTAGGTGTTTCCCATTATGGTGGAGTAGACAAAGGGCCTTCTCTAGGCTTAGGAATCATAGTGAGTGAAGGTCCACTGATGTGAGGCAGCTGTGAACATCTCATAGCCTGCATTCATTCATTAGTTTATACGGCATTCATTCATTAGTTTATATGGCATTCATTCAACCAATTTGTATTGGCATCTACTAGGTACCAGGGACTAAAATATTTATAGAGAGAGTTTCTGGTTTTTTGACACTTTCACACTAATGGGAGACAGTCGATAAACTGTCCAGTTAACAATTAAGTGAGTATTCACATAATGTGATAGTAGCCATAACAAAAAAAGTGGGTGGTAGTAATAAAGAATAAGGTAGAGTCGTAGTGGTAAATCATTTAGAACAGGATGGCCTCTTTGAAAAGACATTTAAGCCAATACCCCAACCACAAGAGTTTGCCATTTGAGAAGGTGAGTGAAGTGGGGCCGAGTTTGGGGAAGAGGGTTAGAGGAAGTGAGCCAATGTCTCCCTAGCTCACTAGCATGTGAGGAGACCATGTAGCAGGAATGAGTTTGGTGTGTTTCAGGATCGGAAAGGAGGTGAGGGTGACTGGACAAGGGAGACAGTCAAAGTAAGTGACATTGGAGAGGTAGACAGGGGACAGATCTTGGAGTGCATTATAGACCAGGCTAAGGAGGAGTTTTGTTTCATCCTATAGTCAGTGGAGAATGTTTAAAGGGTTTTGGGTTTTAGAAATGTGTCTCTTCCATCAGTAGGCAGGATAGGATGGAGGCCTAGAAGACTAGAGAGAGAGGCAAGGAAAACACGGAGTGATTTTTGTAATAGTGTGGACAAAAAATAATGAGTATAATTGGGAATTCTAGGAAGAAATGTATGAAAAATATTTGGGCAAGAATAGAGGAAGAATGGCAGATAACATCCACGGGGGATGAGTAGATGATGCTGTCATTTTCCAAATCTCTAAATTAAGCAGGAGGAACTAGTTGTAGTGGGAAGGAAAGTTTCTTAAATGGGTAACTTTTGAGGTTTTAAGAGCATGAGAAAAGAGAACAGCCTGGAGTTGGGGAATGCAGTTCTATTTGGAGCTTATGGAGCAATCAGGACTTGAATTAGAGATGAATGCAGGTTTGGCAGGGCCTCTCCTTTTCTGTAACTTGCTAAAATACACGATAGGGAATCAGGTTTCACACATGGGGAGTCTTCGCCTCTGCTGCCAGCCTGGCATTGTTATATCACCGAGTGGGCCAGCTCCACAGCCCAATCAATATCTGCCGGCACAGCCATCTTCCATCCCCCTAGCAAGGTGAGCATCGAACAGTTAATCTCCCTTTCTCCAGTTCTTAGTAACTCCTGGTTTGTTTTCACCAGACAAGGCATTGGACTATACTGGAAATATAGGTTGCTATTTTTCCAACGGGTCACATAGATCTCAGAGTGGTACAGTCTGTGCACGTTGGGGGTGGTGGGAAGGGGCACATGATAACTTCTTAATTTTTTCAATTTTCTCTCAGACCTCCTACACTCAAGCCCTCATATCCAGTAGCTGCTCTCTTCTTCAGAAAATTCCAAGCCTTCCTACATGAGCAGGAAGTTCTGTTCCCTTATCCCCTCCTGTATCTTCCAGATATGATCATGTAAGTCTTTAATAGACAATAAATAACTTTTTTAAAGGTTCAAATGAGAAGAGTGCAGCTCTGGTCCCATTTGTGAAGGCAGATCGATGCTCCAATTCTCATTCATTCTCTCCATCAACAAGTAGTTGATTTTTTCACTGTTAGGAAGCCAGCACACTTTATTACAGTGAGCTTTTTTTTTTCATTTTGTTCAGGACAGCACAGTTCAGTCTCATAGACATAATGTATACCCTTTCAGTCTAGAAGATATTTTCCTGCCTCCTTATGAAACAAGAAATGCAGACTTATCAGTCTACACTAGCCATGAGTGTCTCTCTCTTAGCCATCTGGTGTGGGGGAAAAACAGTTCCATTACATTCTTTTTTTACTTATTATATACTTCTAAATATAAGTATACATAGGAGAAGGGTATAGAGAATGATTTTCAGTTTATTATACAATGTAAATAAAATTATCAAATATTATAACAAGGCCAACCAAGGTGAGGATGCAGAAAAAGAAGTGATTCATTCCTTTGGCTAGAGAAGTTTGGCTGGTGGGAAACAAGAAAATGTGTATAGCTTTTCTTTTCTTTTCTTTTCTTTTTAAGGATACTTGATTGTTAAGGGAAAGAGACCATTTGAGCAATAATTAGAGTATTCAGGATTGAGGGAGGTATATGTTGCTTGTTGTTGTTAATTTTTTACTTGTTTGTTTTGTTTACAGACAACAGCATTTGAGCAACCTTCTTAAATATCTGTCTGGAGCAGAAGCCATTCTTGAGATAGAAAAGATCAGAAGTGCAGCCAAGACTGGTAACAACTGATGAAGTATCTGAAAGAAGCTAGAAGGGGGTCAGAATAGATTAGTCATGAACTTCTAACCATGAGCAGGAGGTAGAATGATGTTATCCCCCATATCCTCGAGTTTTTTTCTTTTTCTTTTTTTTTTTTTTAATTTTGCACAGAGCATTATGAGGTCATCTGCTGATGGGAAATAGAGTAGGAGAAGGATTTGAGGAAAATAGTAAAGGAGGAACAGTCATTAAAGGGAATGGAAGGAAAAACTGACCAGTGATAGAGCAAAGAGGGACAGAGGTAAAGGATCAGTGGTAAGGAAGACTGTGGATTTCTGTGGCTTCAACCTATGTGGATGGGTACTTTTCCCCAGCAGTGATCAATAGGTCTGATGGAACAGAGATAGTCAATGTGCGGACTGACCCAATGTGGAGGGTGTGCATGACAAGGGAGTGGCAAAATTGGGGAATAAAAGAGGCTTAGGGTCATAAATTCTTTGTTTTATGGAGTTAGAGCCCCAGCTAAGTTCTTATCTGATAAATTGGTGGCATTCCAAACACTAGGTAATGATTTTGTTCTTGACACATGTTAGCTAGATATGTTGTCCTTTACTTAGGATGCTGAAGGTTACAACATCTCTGACTCATTCTCTGACAGTAAAATGTATTCTTTGGATGTAGAAATTTTGGTCTGAATGTAAATGTTTCCAGAAATTAGTTTAGTTCAGCTTATTTATTTTAAGAAGCGATGAAAGCCACCTAAGAGACAATAAATCTTAGGCATATGTGCCCAGCAGAAGTGTTTGTATATGCAGTGTTTGTTTATGTTTTCATTGAGGTGTCAGCTGCTTTTTCTATACACGAACCATTGTGAGCATATGGCATTTTGAGGTGAGTCATAGGAAATTCAGCTGAGTTTGTTAATTGCCCAAAGAGACAGGTATAAAACTCAGAAAGGAATCAGAATGTATTTACAAATGAACCTTAGGCAGGTGTGACTTGCCTAATTACTTGCTGATGGAAAAAGCACAGCTATTCTAATTTATTTACATCCCACTCTAATGATATGAGGAGGCTCAGCAATTGCCAGATGGGGTGTGTCGGGGTACGTCCTCCTGAGTTGCTCCAGGCAGTGTGTTTTAAAGGAAAGAAGAAGAATATGGTTTAGGATCCTGGCTTCATAGTTATGTGGACCCCATACCTATATGAGCAAGCTTTGTTTTTAAGCCTCTGTTTTCCTCTTTCTTAAAAATGAAGCTCATAATACATAATTTTCTGTTATTCTGAAAACAAGATGAGTCAACAAATACTTAAAGCAGAGAGCTTAGTTCCTGTTCCTATGGATATTTGTTTTTCTCATTTCCTACCTGCTTCCCCCAACTATAAAACTTCCAGCTCCTAAACATGAGAGATCAAGTTAATGCTTATTGTGATTCTTCTCCCACAACAAGAGCAAAAACTACAGGATCAAAATAACCTAACTTAACAATTATAAATAAATTGAGACAAAGTGAACAAGTGAGAGAAATGGAGAGAGAACGATACAGAAAGTATGGTAAAAAGTATTTGAAAGATTTTAGATGAAATTACTAAGACATCCCTTGAACTATTTTTGCAACTTTTTATTTCAAATAAAACTTAAAAAAAATACAATTTATAAAGAAAACGGTTTTTAATTTTTTTTCCAAGATGGCAGATTAGAGGCTTGTAGCATGCCTCAGCCACTTGGAAATAGAATGATAGTGCACAAAGATAAACTCTGTGAGCCTTAACTCAAGAGGAAAAACAGGAATCCACCAGAATCATGAAGGACACCCCAAATCCCGAGGAGGAGAATGTGGGTAAACAGCCCCTGTGACAGTGTCTATCTCATAAAATTTGAGTGAAGCCCCAGTACATGAGAGAGACAGACAGCCTCCCTCTGTGACTCACCTTTCCACTAGTGATCCAAGCAACTGAGGCTGAGAGAGAGCATTTTGTTTCTCCCAAGCCCTAGAGCTAACTTGGAATGAGGCTTGAAGACACTATGAGGGAAAGACACTGGGAAACGCTGCAGGCATTTTCCCAGATTCAGGACCAAGGACAGGACACCGTTTTTAATTTGGGCTCATATAAAGTCAGTCATTCTTTGACAATTTGCATAGCTGTGCAAGCATTTTAGTCTTGGGCCAGAGATTAGAGCACCTGCTCTGGAGGGGTTAGGGACATCCATAGCCAGAACTGTAGACAGTGCTTCAGCAGTAGGTGCTAGAATTGTGCTCTTCCCCATTGCAGGCCTGGGGTGGAAGGAGAGCTGCTACAGCTGTGGTTTCTCCTAGGTGACGAGACTTGCAGCCAGGGCCATCTTGGCAGACTGGAACCAGTCTGCATGTATCATTGCTGGGTGCCTACCCCAGCCTGTTCCCCTGAGTTCGTGGTCCAGCAGATCCCTCTCCACTTCACTCCCAGGCAGAAATCCAGGCATTCAGGGCACCCACTTGCCTGGACCAGCAGCCTGAGCCACCCCACCCTCATGGACATAGATGATAGTGCAGTGGGGCCCTCTCTGCCCCATGTCCAGGTAGATCTCCAAGTATTTGGAGCACTTCCTCACCAGGATCAGAAGCCTGAGCTGTCTCACCCTTCCTGTGCATAGATTGTGGTGCAGAGGGGCCCTCTCTGTTCCACATGTAGACAAATCTCCAGGTATTTGGAGCACCCGCTCACCTGAGTCACCTCACCCTTCCTGTGCAAAGATCCTAGTGTAGCAAAGCCCTCTCCACTTCATGCCCAGGCAGATCTCCAGGTATTTGGAGTGCCTGCTCCCTGGTCAAGCAGCCTGAGCCGCCTCACTATTCCTGGACATAGATCATGGTGCAGTGGGGTCCTCTGCATTCCAAGCCAAGACAGATCTCCAGGCACCCAAAGCACCTCATTACACAGATTGGCAGCCTGAGCTGCCAAACTCTTTCTGTGAAGAGATTTGGGTAAATGCGGGCCCTCTATGCTTCATGCCCAGGCAGATCTCTAGGCATTCAGAGCACCTGTTTGCCTGGTTTAGCAGCCTGAGTTGCCCCACTTTTCCTGTGCAGAGATCCAAGTGGAGAGGAGCCTTCTTTGCTCCATGCCCAGGCAGATCTCCAGGCATCCAGAGCATCCACTCTCCTGGATTAGGAATTTAGGCTTCCCCCTACATCACTGTGCAGAGGACTTGGAGCCTAGGAGGTTTTCCAGATTCAGACTTAGGCACACATCTGGGTGCTTGGTGGCTGCTCGTTGGATTCTCCCTCTGCACTGATGCTTGTGCCTACCATCAAGAGACCTTTAGGTGAGCTGGCTCAGCCTGGCCCTGCCCACTGTGGCTGCTGCCTCCCTGGGAGCTGAGCAGGGAGTTCAGACCACTGTGTACTCCACAAGTCAGCCCATTTCCTGAGGCAACAGAGAACTTTTGCCAGTAAACAAGGATCAAGTATATACCCAGCTGCATTGGCCACAGCTGGCTGTAACCCATAAGGTACGTCTACTGGCTTCTAGGTGAAACTGCATGGCCCAATATAAAACCTGCCGACAGATGTGCATAATAGGGCTATTTTTGGCAAAGAAATAGGGCTATTTTTGGCAAACCCAAAAACTCTGCCTAGCATTTTCTACGGTCACATTCCGTAGGGAAGAGGGGAAAGGGAAAGAAAAAAACTATAAGGAAAGATAAAGAAAAAATTCCACTTACGTGAAAATAATTACACAAATTAGAAGTGCCAGCATCCCCAGATGAGAAGGAAACAGTGCAATAATTCTGACACCATGAAAAATCTGAATGTAGTGATACCACCAAAGGATCTCGCTAGCTCTCCAGCAATGGTCTCTAACCAAAATGGAAACTCAGGAATGACAGATAAAGAATTCAAAATATGGATTGCAAAGAAGCTCAATGAAATCCAAGGCAAGGATGAAAATCAAAGAAACTTCTAAAGCAATCCAGGAAATGAAGGATGAAATAAATATCTTTAAAAGAAATCAATCAGAGTTTCTGGAATTGGAAAAAAAATTGAAATATTTCAAAATACAATTGAAAGCTTTATAATAACTGGACGAATTGGAAGAATTTCAGAGCTTGAAGATTAGCCTTTCAAACTAACCCAGTCAGACAAAAATAAAGAAAAAAGAATTTAAAAAAATGAGCAGGGAAGATGCGGTAGCTCATGTCTGTAATCCTGGCACTTTGGGAGGCCAAGGCAGGTGGATCATGATGTCAGGAGTTCGAGACCAGGCTGACCAACATGGTGAAACCCTGTCTCTAGTAAAAATACAAAAATTAGCCAGGCATGGTGGTGTGCACCTGTAATCCCAGCTACTCAGGAGGCTGAGGCAGGAGAATCACTTGAACCCAGGAGGCAGAGGTTGCACTGAGCCAAGATCGTGCCATTGTACTCCAGCCTGGGTGACAGAGTGAGACTCCATCTCAAAAAAAAAAAAAAAAAAACAAAGTCTGAGAAATATGGAATTATGTAAAGTGACCAAATCTATGAATTATTGGCATAGATAATAATTCTCTCCTCTTCTCTCTTCTTCTCTCCTGAGAGAGAAGAAGAAAAAAGCAACAACCTGGAAAACATACTTGAGGGAATAATTCAAGAAAATTTCCCTAATCTTACTTAGAGAGGTAAGCCTCCAGATACAAGAAATCCAGAGAAGACCTGCAAGATGCTACAATGATGAAAATCACCAAGGCGTATAATCACCAGACTGTCCAAGGTCAACACTGAAGAAAAAACCTTAAAGGCAGCTAGGGAAAAAGGTCAGATTGCATACATAGGGAACCCTATCAAGCTAACAGCAGACTTCACAGCAGAAACTTTACAAGCCAGCAGAGATCGGGGGCCTGTTTACAACATTGTTAAAGAAATGCCAACCTAGAATTTTATATCTGGCCAAACTAAACTTCATAAGCAAAGGAAAAATAAAATGTTTTTCAGAATAGCAAGTGCTATGGGAATTTGTTATCACCAGACCAGACTTACAAGAGCTCCTTAAGTGAGTTCTAAACATGGAACAACATAACTATACCTGCTATACAGAAACACACTTAAGCACATAGCCCAAAGACCCTATAAAGCAATCACACAGTAGAAACTACAAAGCAACAGGCTAACAACTTCACAGTGGATGAATAGTAATCATTAGTTGTCTAAGTGCCCCACTTAAAAGGCATAGTGTGGCAAGTTGGATAAAAAACCAAGACCCATCCATCTGCTGTTTTCAAGAGACTCATCTCACACATAATGACATCCATAGCCTCAAAGTAAAGGACTGGAGAAAAATCTGTCATGCAAATGGGAAAAAAAAGCAGGGATTGCTATTCTTTTATTAAATAAAACAATGTAACAACAGTAAAGAAGGACAAAAAAGGGCATTATGTGATGATAAAGGGTTCAATTCAGCAAGAAGACTTATCTTAAATACTCAACATTGGAACATCTAGATTTATAAAATAAGTACTTCTGAACCTATGAAAAGACTTAGATGTCTACACAATAATAGTGAGGGAACTTTGACACCCCACTGACAGTGTTAGATCATTGATGCAGAAAACTAACAAACTCCGGGCCAGGCGCAGTGGCTCACGCCTGTAATCCCAGCACTTTGGGAGGCTGAGGTGGGCGGATCACGAGGTCAGGAGATCGAGACCATCCTGGCTAACATGGTGAAACCCTGTCTCTACTAAAAATACAAAAAATTAGCTGGGCGTGGCAACAGGCGCCTGTAGTCCCAGCTACTCAGGAGACTGAGGCAGGAGAATGGCGTGAACCCAGGAGGTGGAGCTTGCAGTGAGCCAAGATTGCGCCACTGCACTCCAGCCTGGGCGACAGAGTGAGACTCCATCTCAAAAAAAAAAAAAAAAAAAGAAATTCTGGACTCAAATTTGACACATTACCAATTGGACCTCATAGATGTCTACAGAATACTCCACCCATCAACTGCAGAATATACATTATTCTCATCTGCACACAGAGTATACTCCAAGATCGACCACATGCTCAGCCATAAAGCAAGTCTCAATAAATTAAAAACACTAGAAATTATACCAATCATACTCTCAGACCACAGTGGAATAAAAATCCTCTGCTCTCTCAAAAACCACACAATTACATGGAAATTGAACAACTTGCTCCTGAATGAGTTTTGAGTAAACAATGAAATTAAGGCAGAAATCAAGATGTTCTTTGAAATAAATGAACACCGATACCACATACCAAAATCTTTGGTATATAGCAAAAGCAGGATTAAGAAGAAAGTTTATAGTGCTAAATACCTACCTCAAAAAGTTAGAAATATCCCCTATTAATGATCTAATGTCACACCTAGAGGAACTAGAAAAACAAGAACAATCTAATCCCAAAGCTAGCTGAAGAAAATAAATAAATCAGAAAAGAACTGAACAAAATTGAGACTCCAAAATCCATACAAAGAATTGATGAAGCCCAAAGTTGGTTTTTTGAAAGCATAAGCAAGATTGATAGACTGCTAGCTAGGTTAAGAAAGAAAAAGAGATAAGATCCAAATAAGCACACTCAGAACTAACAAAGGTGACATCACAAGTAATCCCTCAGAAATACAAAAGATCCTGAGATGATTATAAACATCTTTGTGCCCACAAAGTAGAAAATCTAGAAAAAATTGGATAAATTCCTGGAAACACACTATCTCCCAAGATTGTATAAGGAAGAAATTGAAACCCTGAAAAGACTAATAACAAGTTCCAAAAATTAATCAGTAATGAAAAACTTATCAACCAAAAAAATCCCTGAACCAGATGGATTCACAGCAGAATTCTACTAGACATACAAAGAAGAGCTGGTCTCAATTCTACTGAAACTATTCCAAAAAAATCAAAGAAGATGGACTCCTTCCTAACTTATTCTATGAAACCAGCATCACCTTGATACCAAAACCTGGCAAAGACACAATGAGAAAAGGAAACTACAGGTCAATACCTCTGATAAACATAGACACAAAAATTCTCAACAAAATGCTAGCAAGCTGAACCCAGAAGCACATCCAAAAGTTAATTCTCCATGATCAAGTAGGCTTCATTCCTGAGAAGCAAGGTTGGTTCAACATATGCAAATCAATAAATGTGATTCACTGCATAAAAATTTAAAACAAAAACCATATGATCATCTAAACAGATGCAGAAAAAGCTTTCAGTAAATCTAACATCCTTTCATAATGAAACTCTAAAGAAATTAGTCATTGAAGGAACATATCTCAAAATAGTAAGAGCCATCTATGACAAACTCACAACCAACATCATAATAAACATGCAAAAACTTAAAGCATTCTTTCTGAGAACTGGAACAAGATCAGGATGCCCTCTCTCACCACTCCTATTCAACATACTACTGGAAGTCCCAGCCAGAGCATTCAGGCAAGAAAAAGAAGACATCTAAATAGGAAAAAAAGAAGTCAAACTATCTCTCTTCACTTTTGATTCTATACCTAGAGAACCCTAAAGACTCCACCACAAGGCTCCTAGAACTGATAAAGGACTTCAGTAAAGTTTCAGGATACAAAATCAATGTACAAAAATCAGTAGCATTTCTATACATCAATAACATTCAAACTGAGAACCCAATCAAGAACACAATCCAATTTAAATTAGCCACAAAATACTACCTAGGAATACGTCTAACCAAGGAGGTGAAAGATCCCTACAAGAGAAATGCAAAGTACTGCTAAAAGAAACATAGATGACAGAAACAAATGGATGAATATTCCATGGTCATGGATTGGAAGAATCAATTTCAAAATGGCCATACTGCCTAAAGCAATCTATATTTTCTATGCTATTCCTATCAAACTACTAATGTCACTTTTCACATAACTAGAAAAAAAAACTATTCTAAAATTCATATGGAACCAAAAAACAGCCCGAATAGCCAAAGCAATCGTAAGCAGAAAGAACAAACCTGGAGGTATCACATTACCCAACTTCTAACTATACTATAAGGCTACAGTAACCAAAATAGCATGGTACACTACAAAAACAGACACATAGACCAATGGAACACAACAGAAAGCTCAGAAATAATGCCATTGACCAAGACGATGAAAGAAGCAATAAAAATTATGAAGACAGAATAAGAAACTATGAAAATCAACAGGCATATTTAAGAAAAATAAAGGCATTTTTTAGAAATGAAAGATATATCCATTGAAATTAAAACCATGGTAGACAAATTAGGCAGCAGTTTAGACACAGTTGAAGAACTTAAGAAAATGAAGGACATATTTGGGGCCATAACCTATAATTTATGACCTAGAGAAAGAAATGGATACCACAGAAGAAAGACTGAGAGACATGGAAGGTAGATTAAGTTATTTTTTTTTTTTTTGAGACGGAGTTTCGCTCTTGTTGCCCAGGCTGGAGTGTAGTGGCGTGATCTCGGCTCACTGCAACCTCCGCCTTCCAGTTTCAAGCGATTCTCCTGCCTCAGCCTCCCGAGTAGCTGGGACTACAGGCATGTGCCACCACGCCCAGCTAATTTTTTGTATTTTTAGTAGAGATGGGGTTTCACTGTGTTGGCCAGGATGGTCTCGATCTCTTGACCTTGTGATCCACCCACCTTGGCCTCCTAAAGTGCTGGGATTACAGGTGTGACCCACCATGCCTGGCCTAGATTGAGAAGTTCGAAGAAGCTTCAGAAAGAGCATAGAGAGTAGGAAGAAGAGGGCACTGTCTTAAATATATTGGCTAATAATTTTCCAGAAGTACAAAAGATATAAATCCTTAAGTTGAGGATAGGATTAAGTGCACTTGAACACACCAAAGTGAAGTTGCAGAACACCAAATATTGAGGGAAATTCTTGGAAGAAACCAAAGATAAAATACATAAAATGACACAGTCCTTGATTATTGTTTTCTAAAACTCAAGAGTAAAATAAGGTGTTGTTATAAGAAAGTTGGAGAAAACTATGAGAGGAGAATGTTGAGAAAAAGGAAACTGTAAGAAATGAAAGAAGGGAATAGTTTCAAGAGTGTTAAATAGGGGAGATCACAGCACTTAAATTCAGGACACTCTACTCCTGGTTTGTCACTTACTACCTGTGAGAATTTGGCTAGGTTACCTACCTTCTCTGAATAAGAACATGCATGTGTTCTGGTTTTATTTCGATAAGCTTCAATCATCAGCAATCAGCCCCTCTCGCACAGTGATTTTTATTTTCCACTGAAAGAGCCCAATGTGCTGTATTGTGAAGGTGTTAGACACAAAGATGAGAGAAAGCATGAAGTTAGCTTCCTGTCTGGCAGAAAGAAAGGGTGGAGAAATCCAGAATTCGAAGAAGCAGCCAAAACTCAGCCTCCACCTGTGATAGAGTGCCCTAGGCATTTAGGACTAACTGAGGCTTTGAGGCCAGCAAGGAAGTGGTTTGCACGGAGCAGAGGTGCCCATTCGATGTCTCAAACCACAGATTCTTGCTACATCTGCTCCAGGCTGTGACTTACATTTTACTCATGGGGTTGGGTTCTGTTTCTGCAAGTCTTGAACATGCTTCAGTTTTGAGTTGCTAGTCATCACTCTCTGTAACTTGCAAGAGACGCCCCTGAGGTTTCGCTGATTCAAGTAGAGCAGAATATAAACTTATTATGAAGCATAAAGCATGAGAGAATCAAACAAGTTCAGAAAATAAATTGCATTTGGAGCTAAGTGAATAATCTTCCCTACTTCTTGGGCAGACTGGAACAAGGCACTTGTCTGGAATAACAACTGTTGCGTGAGAGTTGGCATTTGATTGCCTTTATTATCCAGAGGGCTGGCATCAGCATGAGGAGGGGTGAGGGGTGTTTCATCAGTGTAGAGTTGCTGGATTGGCTGGACACTTTCCAGCTCTGATCCATAATTTATACCAAGATGGGAATAGCAAGCAAGACACTGCCCATTTTCAGGGCTTTTGCTTATGGACACAAACCTATCCCACTAAATCCCTTACAGAGGAGACTTAATGGGGGCTTTTCATAGCTCTGATAGTTAGTTCCAGACTGGCTGCTGCCTTAAGAAAGAGACAAATGAAAGGTGCTAGAGGCAAGCTCCTATGATGACACATGATCTTTGCATACCCAACCTAAGTAAAAATTACCTTGCCATCTACTTCTTCATGTATTGATAGTCTTCTAGCACAGGAAGATTGTCTGAATGAGTGAAGGGGCCACAAGACTCTGTATTTCTAGAGTGTTAGGAAGCACTCCTAAGGACTCTGGCTGTCCGGGAATGGGGACAAGAATTAGCATCACTCTCTAGGTTGAAGCATTAGATGGACACACAAAACAATTTAGAAATCCTGGGAGCATTTGTATTCCCAGTGCCTCTCTCTTTCTTTCCTATGTTTATCTAATAATGTGCACAGAATTACACTAGTACACTTTTTGTAAACTGAGTTGCTATTTGATTCTCATGTGTTATTTTGTTTACATACACAGATTTACGCAGGAAACAGACAAACCTAGTCACTCATGTTGTGCAAGAATTCAGTGCACTGTCTTGTATTACCAGTAGGCTTTTTTATATTAGTTCTAGAAAAGAAAAAAAAAGTAGGAAGGAAAAGAAGGAAGGAAGGAATGAGGTAGAAAGATGCATGCAGAATGTGTATGTCCATTGCCGCACTATTCACAATAGCAAAGGCATGGAATCAACTCAAATGCCCATGAATGATAGACTGGATAAAGAAAATGTGGTACATATACACCATGGAATACTATGCAGCTATTAAAAAGGAATGAGATCATATCCTTTGCAGGGACATGGATGAAGCTGGAAGCCATTATCCTCAGCAAACTAACACAGGAACAGAAAACCAAACACCACATGTTCCGACTTATAAGTGGGAGCTGAACAATGAGAGCACATGGACACAGGGAGGGGAAAAACACTTACTGGGGCCTGTCGAGGGAGGGTGGAGGGTGGGGAGAGCATTAGGGAAAAAGCTGATGCATGCTGGGTTTAATACCTAGGTGATAGGTTGATAAGTGCAGCAAATCACCATGGCACATGTTTACCTGTGTAACAAACCTGCACATCTTGCACATGTACCCTGGAACTTAAAACAAACAAAAAATGCACTTAAAAATAAAAAAGAAAGATGCATGTAGGGTATTATTTTAATTCATTCATTTACCAAATATTTATCAAGTGTCTGGTATATGCCAGACACTTCTAGTCAGGAGAGATGCGGTGAGTAGGAAGCAAAAAAGATAAGGTCTTGCCCTTTGAGTTTGCAATCTAGTGAAGGGACACATAAACTGATTAATTGAAATGGTTCTAAAGGAAATGGAAGAAAGAATAGCAAAATGGAGGATAAGGGGACATGGGGACATGGGCTCTGAATTATGAGAAAAGGTCAGGAAGTCTCTGTGAAAGGTAACAGTTGGAGGAGAGAGACTTGGAGAACTCTTCTTGGCAAAGAAAATAGCAATTGCAAAAGTGCATTTGAAAACAACATGTTTTAAATCCCCGAGACAGGAATGTGCTTGGTGGGTCCTAATCAGGGAGGTCAGGTGGCTGAATGGGGAGAACAAGGTGGAGAGGCAGAGGTAAGTTCTGAGAGGTGACGAGGGCAGTTTCTGCAGACACTGGTAGCAGTTGTAGGGATGCTGGCTTTTTCTTTGAGTGATTTGGCACCATTGGTGGCTTGAGGTAGAAGAGTGATACGTTATGTTTTATTTATTAAAGGAATTACTCTGGCTGTTATGAGGGCACTGTGAAGGGATAAAGTGACCCCCGAAGAATCCTTTGCTCTGATCCAGGAAAGCATAGTGGTAACTTTGAACAGAACCACAAAGGTAGGGGGGTGGCTGTATTTTGGACCCATTTTGAAGGCAGAACAACAGATTTTGCTATTGGATTGGACAAAGGACGTGCAAGAAAGAAAGTCATCAAGGATGACTCCCAGGATAAATGGTTTGAATGGGCTGCCCAAACTGGAACCAGGAAAACCGGTGTAGAGACTGTTCTCAGTCATCCACGTAAAGCTAGAGCTTCCTGGACCATTGAAAAAGAGTCGTGAGAGTGGATCTCCTTGCTCTGCTCTCAATGCTAGGAGGACAGCACTCAGTCTTTCACCATTATATGTCATGTTAACTGTAGGTTTGTTGTGGATGATTATTATCAAGTTGAGGATGTAACCCTCTACTAGAGGGTTACAAGTGTTCCTATTTTTCTGAGAATTTTTATCATAAGTGGGTGTTGAATTTTGTCAGTGCTTTTTATGCGTTAATATGATTGTGTGATTTTTCTTTAGTTTGTTAATATGGTAGATAATACATTGCTTTATGATCCTTCATCCTTGAAGGAAATTTTCACTAGATACGGAATTCTGGGATGAAAGTCCTTTTCTTTCAGCACTTGAAGAATATTGTGCCACTTCATTTGGCCTCTGGTTTTTGATGAGAGATACACTACCATTCAGTTTTTTCCCCGATAGGTAAGGTGTTATCCATTTCTTGTTGTCTTCAAGAACTTTTTTCTTTATTTTTCAAAATGTAATTATAATATGTCCTGCTCTAGTTTTCTTTGAGCTTATCCTATTTGGTGTTTGCCCAGCTTCTTGAATCTGTAGGTTGTTTATCGCGAAATTTGGCAAGTTTTAAACCATTATTTCTTTTAGTTCCCTTTTTGGCTCCACCATCTTTCTCCTCTAATTTGGGGACTCCAATTATATGAATGTTCGATCTTCTATTTTGTCTCACAGGTCATTGAGATTTCTTCTTTTATTTCAGTGAATTTTTTTCTGTTGTTCAGATTAGGTAATTTTTATTGCTCTATCATCAAGGTAACAGATTCTTCTTTCCCTCCATTCTGCTGTTTAGCCTATTTGTTAATTATTTTTTATTATAGTAATTGTATTTTTCAGTTCTAAAGTTTTTATTTCGGCCGGGCGCAGTGGCTCATGCCTGTAATCCCAGCACTTTGGGAGGCCGAGGTGGGCGGATCACAAGGTCAAGAGATCAAGACCATCCTGGCCAACATGATGAAACCCCGTCTCTATTAAAAGTACAAAAATTAGCTGGGCGTAGTGGCGCATGCCTTAATCCCAGCTACTCGGGAGGCTGAGGCAGGAGAATCACTTGAACCTGGGAGGCAGAGGTTGCAGTGAGCCGGGATTGTGCCACTGCCCTCCAGCCTGGCGACAGGGCGGGACTCCATCTCAAAAAAAAAAAAAAGTTTTTATTTCATCCTTCCTTATATATTCTACTTGTTTGCCAAGGACCTTTTTAATTTTCATTTCTTCTGAAGCATTTTTATGATAACTGCTTAAAATCTTTGTCAGCTAATTCTGACATCTCTGTCTTCTCAGTGTTAGCTTCTATTGATTGCTCTCTTTCAGGACAATTTTCCTGTTTTTTATTTTTATTTTTGTGTGATGAGTGATTTTTTGACGGAAACCTGTATATTTTGAGCTATGATATTATGAGACTTTGGATCTTATTTAAGCCTTCTGTTTTAGCTAGTGTAGTGAGTTGAATATTGCCTCCACTGCCCCCCCCCCATTCATGTCTATTCAGAAGCTCAGAATATGATCTTATTTGAAAATAGGGGCTTTGCAGATGAAATTAATTAAGGGTCTTGAGATGAAGTCATCCTAGGTTTAGTGTGGGCCTTAAATCCATGACTTGTGTCCTTGAACATGGAGGAGAGGATACAAAAAGACACAGGGAAGGACATGTGAATGCAGAGCCCAAGATTAGGGCTATGCTGTCACAAGCCAAAGATCATCTGGAGGCTCCAGAAGCTGGAAGAGGTGAGGAAAAATTTCCTCTAGCAACTTCAGAATGGGTGTGGCCCTGAAAGCACGTTGATTTTGATTTCTGGCCTCCAGAAGTGTGACTGAATAACTTAATGTTGAGGTAAGCCAACTAATTGGTGGTAATTTGTTATGGTAGTCCTAGGAAACAAAGTGGCTTCCTCTATACCTATCTGGTAGAGGAAGGGTGGGGATGCCACGGTTACTGCCAGAATTGCGTATCCAGGTTTTCCACTAATCCTCTGATGATCCCCAAAGGAGGTGGCCTCTACCTTGCTTCTGGTTGGGGGTGAGGATTCTGGCTGCACACTAAGCCTGCATTGGTACCACTCTGACTGGGAGGGCAAGGTGCAGACCACTACTCCTCACGTGGTGTCTTCTGACACCTCATTATTACTGGTAGGTGGTGAAAGTCCCTACTCTCACTAGGGCTCCTCTGATACCACCCCAGTGGGGAGCAGGGCTAGGCTTCTCATTACTGCTGGGGTAGGACGTGGGAGTCCAGGCTTCTCACATGCAAAGTCCAGGTCTCCCCCTGACACTGCAGGTTCCCTACCTGGCCTTTTCTGACACACCTGTGTGCTGGGAAGTGGCCCACTTAGGGTGCTTCATTGGGACCTGTCCAGAGTGGAAGTCTAGTCTCCCTGGGTTTTTTGTGTGGTGTTTGGCTGGAATGTTATTATGTAAAAATTTTCTGACTTGCTAGGCTGCCCTTTTCCTGACTAGACAGAGCAGGCTTTTATGGGGGTCTTTTTGTTTGTGACAATTGGCATTTCTGGGTTGCTGACTTGTTCAGCTCCAAGTTTAGGATGTAGGAGGCAAAACAAGAACAACCAACCTACCCTGAGGTCATTCTTGGGTCCTGAGTTTCTGAGCTGGTCCACCTTCTTCTCTTCACTTTTCAGATACTTTTTATATTTGTGTTCTATGTAATGACCAGGGATTTTAGCTGTACTTAGTGGGAGGACTCAGGAAGGGTACATCTACTATATATTCCCAGAAATGGCAGTCCTCAGGTGCCTTTTAAAGATTCCTCATGTCTTCATTCTTGCCAGATTGTAGAACTTATCATTTCATGCCCTTTCCTCATGTGTATCATTCTCGGGCACTACAAAGATCTAGGCAATCCTGTTAGATTAGAAATGTAACTATGAGCTAGAGACCAATCGAGTTGCCCAAACTCAGGAGGGCCCCGAACCTTGATGAGATTTTGGTCAGAAATGTCCTTTGTCCTTCCTTGTTACTTGTGAGTAGGCCACTTGAGTCATTGCTTTAAGGAGGAAGGAACATTAATAGTAACACTTTTTTTTAAGACCACCTTCATTTTAGAATTTACTGTAAAATTTATCAAAAAAGGCTAGTCCTTCCAGAGTGAATAAGATATTATTCAGGTTATATGAATATTTCGTGAACCCAGATGTTAAAATAAGTAATTACTTTCTGAAATACTGGTTTGTGAAAAGCAGTGGGCTAGTGTTCTCCTCCCCCAGGGTTTTCTCATGCTAATCAAGGCTACTTTCTGAAGATGAACGCTTTCTCAATTTTGTTTTCTGCTCTGTATGTTTCTCCGCTTGTTATCTAACATCCTTTTTTTACTGCTACTTCTCTGCCTGCCCAGTACTCAATGTGTTCATGAGCACTGTCTAAGCTTTTTACAGGATGAACATTTGGGAGATAGCCAAATTCTGGTCTTCCCTATATAATTTGGTCATGAACTCAATTATGTTCCTTGACTTGTATATGTTGGACTAGCTTTTCTCAGAAATATTGTACACTGTGTGAGACCCAAGGCTATATTTCCTACTTCTTTCTTATCTTTTGGGATGATGAAGAAAATGCTGGCCTAATAACTGATGGTGAAATGAATTAATGAAGGAGGTAAAGAGAATCTGGCTTAGAGGATAGTAATAAAGATTAAATATTTTTTTTATTAGATTATATTATTCACCCATTCATCCATCCAACAAACTCTCATGTGGATGCCTGCTGTTTATTAGGTACCTTACTAAGCATTGTACAGATTTCAAAAATTAAAAGAAACAGAGGGACAGGATGATGAATACCTTGGACTTCAGGGTCAGAAAGACCTGACTTTAGATCTCCGATCTGCCCCATACTAACTGTGTCGCTGTGAAATGAAGCTTCTCGGAGCTTTGATTTCCTCCTCTGTATGTTTGTTATGATGATTAAATGAAATAACAAACATATAGAATACCTGATGTAAGTAGGTACTAGATTTATGTTGATTATTAAGAAAATATGTTTTTCTGCCTTAAAGGAGCTTATAGTATAGTAGAGAAGGAAGAATATGTTCAAAGTAATTAGAACATTTTTAGATTTTCCTATGAGAGCAGCATTTTGTAAATTCAAAGGAGAAAGCTCACATCAAACTGGCAATGGGTTGTATAAGTTAAATGTAGTTGTATTGCTGCACACCATTCAGATTGGCATATACAGATGAATGATCTTCACTAACTTAGACATAGTCTTGGGGGTCAAGGATAAAGGTGGGTTTTTACATTTTTCTTGATGTGCTGGACATTTTCATGTTACCCACCTCCCCAGTATCCCATATCTATTCTCTAGCCCTGGAGAGTGATTTTATGAATTGAGAGGCTAATCTTTATGACCTGCATCTTTGCTGGAATGGCTTTGATTGGGTTTGGCCAATGGAAGATAATACAAAAGATTAGATAAAGGGAGGAAGAGTGACAGCATGGTTTTTATTCTCCCAGCTTCCTCCTTGGCTATGAATCCCTCCCCTTAAGAGTCCAGCTTTTGGTGGGGTCCCCTGCATCCCATTGTCGTTTCTAAGTACCTGTAATGGCTCCCTCCCCTTGTGTCTTGAGGCTAGGGGTCTTCCAGCTAGCCCCAGGATCCTGTACTATCCTTGCTGATTTCTCCAGTTTCATGTGCTGTTTCCTGCCAATGCTTGAAATGATGCCCCAGTCGGGTTGGAAATTATTCTTGCTTCTGCATCTCCTCACAGGGAAGATGCCTCATGGTAGAGTGGATTCAATCCAAATAGCATTGAAATCATGTTTGTGCTCAGAAAACATGGATTAAAGGGGCCGTGATAGATTTTCATGGAAGAACAAATATTGGGAGAGGAGGGGAAGGCTTGGGAAATTTTTCTTCTTAAATGAATTCACTGGGGAAATTTGTACCAACTTTTCCAGTGCCTGTGGGTTCTCAAGTTTCTTCCCTTTTAGAGAAATTCATCTCTTTCTCTAGAATGTGACCAGCAGGTCCTGCTGTTGCCGCTGCTCGCAGGGCTTTTAATCACCTGTATGAACGTCTGATAGGGCTATGAAATATGGCCCCTGAAGGCCTCTGAGCTGCCTTTCCCCTTCCTCAAATGGTGAATAATCATTGAATCACTCCACAGTTTCTGATATGAAGCTCAAATCAAGCCATGAAAAAACCTATATTTCACAAGGTAGCATATTTTTGTTTCCTGGCGGTAAATTTCCCTCACTCTCCCTGTGCTGTGGGACACATTTGGAAAGGTCAGTTTGGCACTGTGTAAATTAACTGGAGGGCCATTTGAGTTGAATGAAATCTATTGTAAATGTGTATTGATGGGCATAGCATGGGCTGGAGGGGCATGGCTCTTGTACCAGGGTGATTTGGACAAAAAAGCAGAATTGTACCACGGGCCTTAGAACCACTGTTATTGTCACACTGAGTGATCACTGGAATAGTGTGATGAGACAATGAATGGCAGCAGCGTTCTTTTCCAAAGCTTCCTTTGGGAGGTGAGTATTGAAGTTCTGCCAAGCACGAAGCCAATAGCTTGGTGTCATGAGGTCTTATCCCCTCAAGTCTGAGCAGTGCTATGCATTGCCAAGATCCAGAGGACACCATTCCCATCAACATCTATGTGAATGGAGCCCCCTAGAGTTGTGCAGTGTACTGGCTGTGCAGCCATGTAGGATAGCCTTGAGTTCACAACACCACAGCTTTAGGAGGAGGCAGCATAGTCCAGGAGTTAAGAGTGAGGGCTCTGAGGTTGATGGTCCTGGGTTGGATCACAGGTCTTCTGCTTGTTAGCTGTATGACCTAGAGCACATCATTCAAATTTTCTGAGCATCTCTGGGTATGCATTTTAAAAGTAGTGATAGTAATAACACCTCCATATGTGATTTTGATTATAAAATCAGATAATGCAAATAAGGCACCTTGCTCAGCATGATAAGCAGTTTCACAATGTTAACTATTAATGTTCTTATTACCTAAAATGTAGGCTCTTTCTGGAGCCCCAGAACCCATTGTTGTCAGAAATGATAATAATTAATGGAAAAACATGGACGGGAACTTGATTTGCCATGCCCTGTTCAGAGCCCTTTGTTTGTACTTGACTCCTTTCCTTTTCAGAGTCATATAATGTCATCAGTGAACAGAGGAACATAATTTTCCTACAATTAATTATTTAATCAATCTATTCATTTGTTTAAAGCATATTAATTGAGCACCTCTTCTTTTTCAGGCACCGTTTTAGACTCTGGGGAGCAGCAGGGAACAAAGAAGACAATAAACAAATCATGTCAAAAGTTCTTTACACTGCCTCTACTGGTCTGCTTGAGCTTTATATTAACCATCTTATTTTACCTGCAGGAAACATGCGTTTAGGAGAGAGAGAGAACATTTAGACAAGACTTTTTTTTTTTAATGGAAAGTAAAGCTATAACTATTATTCAAATGCCTTGGCTCTGTGCTCTTTTTCAGGAGACTCTGCTGCTGCTAAGCCATCCCCCTGGTGTTTAACCTCCCACAGTTTGTGGCACCAATAGTGCATCAGCGAGCAACATTAATTATGCACCTACTATGTTCCAGGCACTGTGCTAGGCACAAAGAATACTGTCGTGAACACAACAGAAATTTATTTTCGTATGAACATAGACATTAAAGAAAGTTTGAAAGTAATTACTTAACTAATAGTAAATGTTCAAAGAAGTACCTCTAACTGTAAGGAAGCAGTCAAGGGAGGCTTTTCTGTGGAAGTGACATTTACACTGAGACTTGAAGGATGACCAGGAGTTGCAGGGGAAAGGCAGGTATAGGGAGAGCAGCTTCTGAAATCTCTAACTTTTTCTAAAAGTTGAAGATGTTGGGCCATTTTTCTAGTAAGTTTTTTCCCAATTGAGGGCTTGACAATTGATTGGTCAATAAATATTTGTTAAGTGACAGAATGAATAGATGGATAGATCATCCATCTTCAGTGAGTGAATGCATGAATACATAAAATCTTGCATTAGGAAAAATCCTGAAGATTCTCTGGATCAGGGTCATTGGCATTTTAATAGGTTGAAGAGAGAGAGTTATTTACCATCCTTACTCCTTGGCCTTCTTCTTGCTGATTTTTGGCTGCTATAATTTCTTTCATCAATTCTCTCTTTTCTTTTGACTAGACATACACAGCTCTTCCTTTTTTTTTTTTGAGATGGAGTTTCACTCTTGTTGCCCAGGCTGGAGTGTAATGGCGTGATCTCGGCTCACTGCAACCACTGCCTCCTGGATTCAAATGATTCTCCTGCCTCAGCCTCCCGAATAGCTGGGATTACAGGCGTGTGCCACCATACCCAGCTAATTTTTGTATTTTTAGTAGAGACGGGGTTTCACCACGTTGGCCAGGCTGATCTTGAACTCCTGACCTTGTGATCTGCCCATCTCGGCCTCCCAAAGTGCTGGGATTATAAGGCACGAGCCACTGTGCCCAGCCCATAGCTCCTCCTTTTAAAAAGTACTTAGTTGATATAGGATATAAGCTCATTCTTTCTTTTCTTTTCTTTTTCTTTTTTTTTTGAGATGAAGTCTCGCTCTGTTGCCCAGGCTGGGGTGCAGTGGCGTGATCTCGGCTCACTGCAAGCTGTGCCTCCTGGGTTCATGGCATTCTCCTGCCTCAGCCTCCCGAGTAACTGGGACTACAGGCGCCCGCCACCATGCCTGGCTAATATTTTTTGTGTTTTTTAGTAGAGACAGGGTTTCACCATGTTAGCCAGGATGGTCTCGATCTCCTGACCTCATGATCCTACCACCTCGGCCTCCCAAAGTGCTGGGATTACAGGTGTGAGCCACCACGCCCGGCCAAGCTCATTCTTTATGGTCAAGTGAAAGCTCATTCTTTATGGTCAAGTGAATAGCAGCACTGCTGACCTGGAAATCTTACACATTGAAGAGGAGGAATCAGGAACTTCTGAAAAATGGACCTTTTGTAATTAGTCATAGCTTAACATCCACAGGAAGAAGCTTGTGCTTGTATACCTCTGTTGGAAGCTTTGAGAATCCATGCCCACAATGTGCCATACAGCAAGACTCTGCCTTTGGGTCCAAGCACTGGCTGTTTTGTGTTGATCTGTTGTAGGTCAACTTGGAAGGCTATGAAAAATTACCCCATCTGATGCTTCGTTTACACAATATGGATCCTGGTGGAGCTTTGAGGGCTTTATTAATAATAGCATCTGACGGTTTATTGAATATGTGGTGCCCAATTACTGGATTTGACAGTAAAAGGTATATATTAATGACTTGTTAGGGCTGACCTGGATGGTAATTGATTACTAATGAGGCAGACTTGCTTTCATCTAGGCAAAGTAAGATTTTGTAACTCTTTTAGCTAGCCCTGCATGAATGCCTTAGGAGAAGTGATCTACTAAATGGATGATAAATATTTCATGAAGAGCATTTTACAACACCCATCTTACTAACTTTTTAAAGGATAACTAGATGGTTACTAGAAAGTCCCAGGTGGCAATTGTCTTTGGTGTTCAAAATTCATGATGTGCAGGATTGGCCCAAAGTAATTATAGTCATTGCTAGATTTATCTTGCTACCTGTAACAACAGGGTTACGTCCTAGTAGACTGAGCATGTTTTCCTGCAATGGGTGAGTCATTGGCAAGCTTTGTTTTGGGTTCACAGAGACAAAGCCTATTTTATGCAAGCATTTCAAATGTCGCAAGAAATGAACTTTTTCTAGCCACAGCTATAATTGCTCACTGATACAGAGGTGAAATATTTTCCTTTCTTTTTGGTTCTGAATTAAGTAAATATATGCCTTCCTGAAGATGTTGCATGTATATTTTCTATAAAATGCTCTGAATATGTTTTACAAATTTCAGTTTTCCATCTGACCCTTTTCCTCTTTATATTAATGAATTTCACCTAATTGAATGAAATGCCACAACTGACAAGAGTTCATTCTGAATTTGAGCTTCATATCCCCAAGAAGACATTTTCTTAGTAACACTTAGCAAAATGATATCTATCAAATCACTGGTGCAGTTAGAATTTAATTTGCTCTATCAGCTGCCATTGTCATGCTACTTAACCTTAAAAAATGTAATTTTCCTCAAGACTTCATAATTCCTTTTACATTTCTTCTTCTTTTTTTCTCATTGCTTTAATTTAATAAACTATTGAATGAGAAAAGGCTGGGTAAGAGCCATTCTTCACAAGGTGACAGGGAAGGAGTGAATCTGTTGTGTCCCCATGCGTTTCCAATTCACCCCTACTTCTCTTTCACCTCCCAGCTGGAATCTGATGCTTTCCATGCTGGCTTTCCTCCTGTTGCTAGTCCACAGCATCTTCTTAAGGAAGGGGAAAGGAACTTGCCGAGAAGTGGGAGAGAAAAGAAGAGGCAGCAAGAATAAGAAAATAAAAGGAGGAAATAAAAAACAGAAGAAATAAATAGCAACAAAGGGGAAAGAAAAATGAAAGGGAGAAGCAAATTGTGAAAAGTCAAAGAAACCAGCCCCGCCTTGACCCCTACCTACTGTGTTTTCACCTTAGTGAATATGCAGCTCACAAAAATATCTCCCTCTTCTGAGCTCTGCAGGGCACTGCTTCGCAATTACTGGTGATTTTTCCTCCAGGAGACTTTTGGCAATGTCTGGAGACACTTTTGATGATCACCACTGGTGGTAAGAATAGGGAGGAGGGCCAGGCGCCGTGGCTTACGCCTGTAATTCCAGCACTTTGGGAGGCTGAGGCGGGCGGATCATGAGGTCAGGAGTTTGAGACCAGCTTAACCAACATGGTGAAACCCTGTCTCTACTAAAAATGTAACAATTAGCTGGGTATGATGGTGCACACCAGTAATCCCAGCTACTCAGGAGGCTGAGGCAGGAGACTCACTTGAACCTGGGAGGCAGAGATTGCAGAGAGCTGAGATTGAGCCACTGCACTTCAGCCTGGGTGACAGAGCGCGACTGTCTCAAAAGAAAAAAAAAAAAAAAAAAGCAGAGAGGAGGATGCTGCAGTGGGTTAAGGCCAGGTATCTTGAGTTGAATAGTGCCCCTCCCACCCAAATTCATGTCCATTCAGAAAACTATGAATGTGATCATGTTGAGGAAGAGGTCTCTGTAGATGTAATCAAGATAAGATGAGGTTATACTGGATCAGGGTGGGCCCAAATCCAAAGACTGTTGTCCTTTTAAGACAAGGAAACTTTGGACATGGAGACACAGACATAGAGAAAAGATGGCAATGTGAAGACAGATACAGAGATTGGGATTGGGCTGCTACAAGCCAAAGCATGCCAAAGGTTGCCAAGAACCACCAAAGACTAAAAGAAACAAGAAAGTATTCTTCCTTAGAGACTTTGGAGGAAATATGGCCTGGTAACATCTTGATTTTGGACTTCTAGCCTCCACAACTCTGAGAATATAAAGCCATTGTTTTAAGCCACTTGATTCATGTGGAAACAAATACCTAGGAAATTAATACGCTGGGAATGGTGCTAGACAGTCTACAATGCACAAGACAACCACCTATAACAAGGAATTATATGATCCATAACATTAAGAATGATGAGATTAAAAAACCCTGCTATAGATCTTAAGTCTATAGGTCTCCTCAATATTTTATTATGTATGCTTTGAGGTGTTTCTATGTTTGCAATTTCTCACCTGATTCCTATACGTTATTTAAGTTTTTGGGACTTTGTGTGTTGGTATGTCAAGTAATTTGTTAACTCTTGAAAGGCATGTGTTTGCCTCTTTGATTCCTTTAATGTTAATTGATATGTACATAGTAGGAACTCAATAAATGCTTCCTAAATAAATGAACAAAAACTGTTAGCACACAAGCCAGTTGCAATGAACCTGTCTTTACTTCTGTCAGTAGAGCATATTCTGAGGTCTTGAGGTTGTACTTTTCCAAGTTGTGATTGATGTTCCTTAAGTTTGAGATGTCTGTGTAAATCCTGTCAACTCAGCAAAGAAGTTCTGAAGTGAAAAAGACATAGAAGAAGCATGGCCTATTGGAAAGAGCTCTGGAAGGAAAGAGAAGCGTTCAATTTATATATCTTTGGGCAACTCACATGTTCTCTCTGAACTTCAGTTTTCCTTTCAATGAAATGCAAATAGTGAACCTAGTTTATAGAATTGTTGTGAAGATCAAGCAGCTTATAACATAAAGACCTTGACAAAAGTACTAAGCAAAACTTTTAATTTTTGACCATGCAAAAAGTGGAAGAAGCATCTTCTCCTGGTTCATAAAAGTGTCACATACCAGGAGACATAAATGTCTGTATGAGGCAGCTATGAGTTTTGCCTGGGAAATACAGATCATGGATGAGGGAGTAATGCTTAACACTGTGCACCTCCTGTGTGCCAGGGATGTTTTCACATTTTCTCTTTAATTTTTAGGACAACCTTATGAGGTGGCAATTGCTATTCTCAATTTGGAAATATGAGGGAGGTGAAACTCACAAAAAGAATCTCACAAAGAGCTGCAGTCAGTATTGACAGACTCTGATTTAATATTAAAGCCCAAAATGTATCAACTGAACATGTTGCTTTTCAAGCTGATGTGAAGTCTTGAGTGGTTGTTTGACAAATCAAAGAAAGGTGATGAGCCCATGTTGTATTGGAACAGAAGATATATGAAGATAATATGAAGTGAGCATGTGCTGGTCGGGTGTCATCTCTGTGTAAGACAATGTTTCTGACCCGCCTTTGCTGTTCCGTATACATAGGCTGTTTTTCTCTAGTAGCAGTAGTAAGTTATACATGTGCTTGGTCTCCAGGATTTGCCTGTAATGCATTAATAGTGGTATCTACGGACACGGGCTAGAGAGAAAATGATGGGCCATGGTCTCAGGAGTCCTACAAGGCACTCTGTTGAGTTAGCTAGTTTCAGAAGTTTGGCTATCAGAGCTAGAGAATGACAATGCTAAAGGTCTGGAAAACACGTCAGGATATTACATGGTAATCCAGAAGAATATTCCAAAGCCTCTTGTTATGCTCCTGTTAGGAATTTATACTCTGGCAGCTTCTCTGTGAAACTATTTATGCCCTGGTGGCTTATGCCCTAATGGAAAATGTGTTAATCCGTTGGAGAGTTTTCAATGAGCAATTCAAAGAAAAAGTAAATTAAAAAATAAGGGCATTTAAGTGATACCCAAGAGAATACTTTTTGTATCAGAGACCAGAATCAGGGTGAGGAAAAGCCTGTCTTAAATTTCTCTGGTCTGACCTAAGCACTTTGTGCATAGTTATGCCAGACCTACTGTCTTAGTCTGTTTTGTGCTGCTAGGCTAGGTAATTTATAATAAACAGAAATTTATTGGCTCATAGTTCTGGAGGCTGGGAAGTCCAAAATAGAGAAACCATTATCTTAGAAGGGTCTTCTTCTTGCATTATCCCATGGTGGAAGGACAAAGACTAGGTAAGAGAGAGGCAAAAGGGGGCTGAATTTGTCCTTTTATAACAAACCCACTCCTATGATAACAGCATTAATCCATTAATGAGGGCAAAGTCCTTATGGCCTTATTACCTCTTGAATGTCCCCCCTGTTAATACTGTTACCATAGCAATTAAACATAAATATGGGTTTGGAGGGGACAGGTATTCAAATGATAGTACCTGCTATCCAAAGAATTTATGTCAGAAGCCCACATGAAGAGAAAGCATGGCGTTCCTCTACCATTGTGTGTTGGTATGTCAACTAATTTGTTAACTCTTGAAATTAACAAATTTCATTGAAGGTTGAAGGCCACTCCTTTGCACACGTGATGCTATAAGTCTTGCCTTTGGAAGACCCAGCTTTCATTACTTAGGTAATGTGGCATCTGTAAATCTGATCATGTGTGGATATTCAGGGTAATACTTGTACCCTGAATTTTTTTATAAGTTTACATCCAGAAGATCAAATATAAAATATATTTCTACATCTATTTCTACCAGAGACAAGTAACTTTGGGATTCTTTTCTGTCCTTCTGTTCACCTTCTGCCTTCTCTACAAGCTGACGCCATTTATTTCTGTATAAATATGACATTAGAAATATTTTCACATATCCTTCCTTTCCAGTTTACCTAGTTTTGACAAAACATAGACCAAGGGTGTTCTTTGAGCCTTTAACTTACATTAAAAGTGTGACATCTAGTGTAGCAGGCACATGATTTATAGGACTCCTCAGATATTCTACCTCCTTCCTGTGAGAAGTGCTGCCCAATGCCTGAACAACATTACGGACACTGGGGGCTGACCAGTCACTTGTTCTGGAAAGGCCAGACTCCTTCTCTAATGCTGTTTCTGAGTAGCTAGGCTGGCCAGTAGCAAGACTGGAGTTCCTGGTTCTTAACAGCCATTTCTAGACTTGAACAGAACCTCACAATGAAGGTTCGGATTGTGGCATCTTGAGTCACTAAAGCAACTATGATATAGAGAAGGGCTTAATACTCTGAGAGATGAACTCTGACCAACTAGAAACAGAAGACAGGAAAGATACAGTTAGAAATTATTCCCCATTTCTTCCTTTTATTGACCTCTTGGAATCATGGTTGATCTTTGCAACATGTCAGTAGGCAACTCATGTGCTGAGTGATCTGTTCTATCTACTCATGGAATGTTGTGAATCAACTGGTAATACTTTCATGGTTTTGTATCTTTCCTTGTCTCCTGTTACTTTTCCTTTACTTTTTTTTTTTTTGGAATGGAGTCTTGGTCTGTTGTCCAAGCTGGAGCGCATTACATTGGCACCATCTCGGCTCACTGCAACCTCTGCCTCCCGGGTTAAAGCAATTCTCCTGCTGCAGTCTCCCGAGGGGCTGGGATTACAAGTGTGCACTACTGCACCTGACTAATTTTTGTATTTTTAGTAGAGATGGGGTTTCACTATGTTGGCCAGGCTGGTCTCGAACTCTTGACCTCAAGTGATTCACTTGAGTGCCTCAGCCTCCCAAAGTGCTGGGATTACAGGCTTGAGCCACCATGCCCAGCCACTTTTTCTTTACTCTTTAGGCCCATGGTTTGGGCCTCTCAAAGAAAGGATTAGCACTTTATTTCTTTTCTGTGTCTCTATTTTCTAGAGACCTCAGGTTATGACAACCTCTTAAGTTGGAAAGTAGCTTAATAGTCTTAAGAGGATCATGCTTTGGATTGTGTTCTACATGTCAGAAAAAATAAAAAGTTTTTGTTTCAATGATATGAAATGATATTAAAAATCTCTTTTCTTGTGGAGTATGTTGTTATTTTTATAAAGCATCTGTTGCAGTATATATGAAACTCAGGAGGATGGAAAGATGGCTGACCAAAACGTTTAGATGTGATTTCCAATTAGTTTTCCTTGGTCCAACAATTCATATATCCATTGTAGCTTTTATACCATGCTTTGCAGAAAAGCTGAGTGAGGGAAGTCAGTTGGATTGGCTTTGGGCTATCAGAAAATATTCAGGCTGTTGCCAGGAAAAGAGTAAGACAGAGTTTCACAAAACTCTATTTGCAAAATTAAATTGGCCAGGATCAAGATAGTCTTGCAGCTTCAATTTGGTTGCATGCCTATAAACAAGGACCATCAATACAAAGCAATATTCTTAATAGCGAGGATGTATCTAATGGGCTGCCACTGAGGTCAGCTCTAGGTCAAGTTTCATTTCCTAATGAAAGGAAAAGAGAGGACTGTGGAGAACATTAATGAAACCCATCATGATTCCAAAGTGGAAGGTCCTGCCTTTCCAGGAGAATGAAATACATGCCATTCCAATTTCTTCACATTTAGAAAGATTTTCTAATTATTTTGCAGTGTGTGTGATTTTATGATAAAATCATTTGAAGAATAAGGGAAATAATGAAAGTAGCAGAGAAATGCAGGTATGAAAGAGGTTTATCTTGGAAACCACAAGACCTATCATCTGGATGAGTTACTGGAATTCAATTTCGGACAGACAGATTTGATAGAGAGAATGCCCAAAAATGGAGTCCAGACTTTTAGGGAAGAATGGGAGTAAAATTAGAAACAAGGGAGCAGACATCTCAAAAAACACCCGAGAGATGAGAGTCGTATGAGAACCCAATCATTTAGTTATGTTGGACGATAAGAAACTAGAGTAGTGGTGTGGTTATAATAAACTTGATATATCCTTGAAAAAGTAGGTGCTTTTTTCTTTCATGCATGGCTCAAGACACAGTGTGCTGATATATTACAGAACAATACTTTAATTTCAGAGAATGTAGCTCTGTGAAGGACACTAATGAGGCGGGTGATTTGCACTTCTGCATAGATGCAGCTGCTAAATGGCATGGCTGTCATGACTTCCATATACTTGAGCATGGGTATTCCCACACCTTGTACATGGAACAACAGATACTTTCTCCCAGAAGCTGGTCCCTGAGGGGGCATCTGCATAGGGTGTTAAGGTAAAATTGCTCCAAGGTATGGTTCAGGTAGTCATAGGTAAGCAGAAATTCATTTGATTATTAGGCAAATATAAGTGGAGGGCCAGTGCAGTCAGCTGCTAAGGCATTCGATGGTTCATGGTAGGATTGTTGAGAGTAGATGAAAATCAAAGACAAGTCTTTAACGTCTTGGATAAGAGACAGACCAATTGGCATGGCCTACTCATGTTCGTTAGATTGTAACACAAATCTGTAATCTTTGCCATTGTCAGAAAAGGACCAGGGATTGAATGGAGCTGAGGTAGAAGACATCACTAGGAATGATAACCAACATTAAATAAGGTTAAGCGGATTTACAAACATGTAAAATATGAAAACAGAGGAGAGACATATTAGCATGATGTGCATAGATCTGCATAATCAGCCAATAGTTTTGAAATGACAGTTGAAGTTTAGTATATCAAGGAATTCATATGATATATCCATTGTGGAGGTCAGATCATGGTCTCTCAAAGATGTCCTTGCCCTAATCCCTTAATTCTGTGAATGGGTTACTTTACATAGCAAAGGAATTTTGTAGGTATAATTAAGGTTACAAATCTTAAAATAGGGAGATTATTGTGGATTATTAAAGCAAGCCCAATGTAATTGTACAAGCCATTAAAAACAGAGACCATTTTGTGGCTGGAATCAGACGTGGTAGAAAGGAGGCAGAAGAGATGTGGAAGCCAGAAAGGCTAAAAGCATGAAACAAACTTGATGTGCTGTTGTGGACTTTGAAGATGGAGGCAGGAAGCTGAGAGAGACACCTAGTTGACAGCCAGCAAGAGAATGGGGACTTCAGCTCTACAGCAAAAAGAAATCTGAATAAGGCCAAAGAAGATTCTCCACCTAGCCTCCAAATAAGAGCCCAGGCCAGGTGACTTTTTGCTTGGTAAAACCTATGTTTGGCTTCTATTGTACAGACCTGTGAGATACATGGGTATTGTCTGAAGTCTTTAGATTTGTCATAATTTGTTATGGCAGCAATAGAAAACTAACATATTCACATATTTATGTTTACATAAAGGTATATATGTTCTTCTTTAGTGTGGGAACATACGCAGATATTTCAGGAAAAGTATCATACACCATATAACATATTAGAGTAAATAAATGGTTCATCGGTCAGGTATACATAGCTTTATGGTCAATTGCTTCTGGCACACACCACCAAGGATTGGTCTGGAAGCATGATGCATTTTGATCATTTTAAACTTCTTCCATGATAAATTAAAAAAGAGATTCCATGTGTGAAATTATCATACTATCTGCTTTTGAGGGCTGCTGGCTCCTATATTTTGTCAGAAATTCAAACCCATCTTCAGCCTTCACCCAAGCTTTTGCCAAACTTGACAAATCTTCCAGCCAATATTATATGTATGTATCTGTGTTTATGTGTCTCTAGTATATATACATGCAGATATATAGTTGCCATTTTCAAAGCAATTTTATAATGTGTTAAGAATACAACAGAATTGGTCCTGCTGAAACACTGAGATGCCCACTTTCTATGGACTGGGGAACAGCAGGTGAAGGGGGGCATGAGGCTTTGGTTTCTTATCAACACTGGGCCTATCCTTTTCTCACAGTGACATCTCTTGGAGGTTTTTCTTATTTGTGCTTCCCCATGTTTTGAAAGCTCACTCATGATTTTACCCAGAGAAAACAGCTCCTGCTTCATTCTTTGCAAACATCCTGATTATAAGAATTTAATGATGCACTCATGGGAGCCACCACTCTGCTTGCCTGTCTTCTTTTCAGCACCAGACTGGGATGGACAGTCCCCCTAGGCAGTTGGGCAGTATGTGTGCACTCCTTATGTAGTCAACAGAGCTATCTTCTGCGTTTTAAATCTGAGTGTGGATACTGGAAAATGCTAATTTATGGTAAGCAAGAGCTGGATTGACAGGAAGCACATAGCAGAGGGAGAGGCCATTTGTTGAGGCTGGGAAGGGGTAATGGAAATGGAAGTGAGAAATAGAGACTGATGGGAATAAAATCAAAGAGGTTAAAAATAGAATGGCTTAGAGTTAACCCAGAGAAAGGCCTAAGACTTTATTGTAAGTAGAATAACTTAGAAAAAGCTATTTGGATTTATATCTACGAAGATAGACGTGTGTGTGTGTGTGTGTGTGCGCGTGCGCCCGCACGCACGCGCATGTGTCAGAGAATAGGGAAAATGAAAAAAAATAGCTAAGGGAGTTAAATACCTTCTTGGAAGATCAACTAATGTCCAGACCTTGAGTTTATATGCTGAGAAATAATAAGGGTGGCCTTGTTTTTTTCCAAAGCTGAGAGGAAATGAGAGGCAAGCTTGCTGGTCTTAGGCTAGAATCCAAGCAGATGTCTTAGAGTGGATCAGATGGACTCAGCACAGATCCCATGCTGCATCCCATGTGTTTGATGATCTTCTGAGTCTTTTTACCCTGAGAATTGTACTGGAAGGAAGTAAGAAGCAGGGCTACAGTTCCTGAGACAAGTTTTTTGAGTTAGAGCAAGAGTTAAGGCTGTCTTTACCATGGGCAAACGAGGAGGTATTCCTTTTGGTGATATCCCCGGCAATTTGCTCTGTAGCTCTTCTGTGGAGGATGCTGGAGAAGCAAGGCGATGCAGATTCTCATTTTACATTTGAGTCAGCTGAGTCCCACAAGGGTACCAGAATTGTCCAACATTACACAGTAAGCAACATACGTACCAATTGATGCAAATACTCTCCATTTTTCTCAAGTTCTAAAACAATTCTATTCCCATGTTGCCTGAGAATAACCTTGTTTCCGGTTTTGTTGTTTTTGTTGGGCAAACATTGGCACTACCAGCGTAGAGCTTATTCGTGAATGAAAGAACATTTGAGGACTCAGAATATTTTAACGTGGACTAAGTAACTCAGTTGGAACATGATTGTTATCTTCACCTAACAGGGAGTCATGTATGTAAAAGAGGGATTTACTTAAATCCCTGTGGTCCTAGAGGGCTGATGAAGGATTAAAGAGTAGTAGCAACAGGAAAACAGATTTCAACCTAGGATAAGAAAGAATTTTCTTCCAGTTAGAAGAATCTAAAATGGAATTAGCTAATTTGTGTGATAATGAATTCTATGTCTTCTGAGGTAATTAAGTCAAAACTGAATGATCATTTGCCAGGATGCTGTACAGAGAATTATAGAATTGGCGCAACATTGGAGTGGGCTTGTGCTTGATAACCCAGATATTAAAATTCACTGTTTCTATCAAAATTAAAATGACTCCACCTGAACTTCTTTATTTTATTCTTTCCTATTTGCCTTTGATTTCTACTCTCCATCTAAGCTTTTATTTCTATGTAGGGTAAAAAAGGGCCTTGTGGTTAGCAAAGTCTAACTTACCTTCCTGGATTCAGTCCTCTCTTTTTCATTTCCTGTCTGATTTACTCATAAAGTTATCTACTTCCCTCCTTTACCTTTCTAATATCTTCTCCAGGGCACTTTCTTTGCTTTAACATAGCGTGCTTCTTTACTAAAATAATGTTCCCTTAACTCTGCCACTCCTTGTATTTCCAATCTGAATCTTTCCATGAAGCAATAATTTGTGAACAATTTTAAAATTAAAAAGTTGGCATTTCTGCTTCCCCAATTCATGCACAGGCCTTAAACTCTTAACATATGACTCTTCTTGCCCCTCACGTTTATTGCGGTATACCTGACAAATAAAAATTCTATATATTTAAGAGGTATGCAACATGATGTTTTGATGTGCAGATACATTGTGAAATGATTTCCACAATTAAGCTAATTAATATATCTATCACCTCACATACTTATAATTTTTTTGTGGTGAGAACAATTAAGATAAACTCTTTTAGCAAATTTCAAGTATGTATTAATAACTCAGTATTATTAACTATGGTCAGCATGCTGTACAGTGGGTATTCAGAATTTATTCATCTCTCTTAATTGAACCTTTGCATCCTTTAATCAATATCTCCCCATTTCCCCCAAGCTCTACTCCCTGAAAACCACCATGTTACTTTTGGTTTTTATGAGTTAGAAATTTTTACAGTCCACATAAAAGTAAGATCATGCAGTATTTGTCATTCTGACTCTGGCTTATTTTACTTAACATAATATCCTTCAGGTTCATCCATACTGTCATGAATGGCAGATTTCCCTCATTTTAAGGCTGAATAATATTCTCTTATATATATGTACACATTTTCTTTTTCCATTTTTCTGTAGATGAACACTCAGGTTGTTTCAATATCTTGGCGGTTGTGAATTATCTTGCAATAAACATGGGGGTGCAGATATCTCTTTGAGATCCTGATTTCCTTTCCTGTGAGTGTATACCTAGAAGTGGGATTGCTGAATTATGTGGTAGTTTTATTTTTAATTTTTTGAGGAACTTCTGTACTGTTTTGCATAATGGCTTTACCAATTTACATATCCACTAGCAGTGTGCAAGGGGTCCCTTTTCTCCACATCCTTGCTAATATTTATCTTTTTTAAATAATAGCCATTCTAATAGGTATGACGTTATATCTCATTGTGGTTTTAATTTGCATTTTTCTGATGATTATTGACGCTGAGCATCTTTTCCTACACCTGTTGGCTGTTTGTACGTTTTTTCTTGAGAAATGTTTATTCAGGTCCTTAGCCCATTTTTAAATTAAGTTGTGTTTTAATTTTTCTTTTGAGTTATTTGAGTTCCTTATATATTTTGAATATTAACCATTTATCAGATGTATGATTTGCAAGTATTTTTTTTTTCCATTTTGTAGGTTGCTTACTCCATTGATTGTTTTCTTTGCTGTTTAGAAAATTTTTAGTTTGGTGTAATCCTACTTGTCTATTTTCGCTTTTGTTGACTGTGCTTTAAGAGTCATATCCAAAAGTCATCACCCAGGCCAATATTAACAAGCTTTTCCTCTTAGTTTCTTCTAGTATTTTCTAGATTCATGCCTTGTGTCTAAGTCTTTAAACTGTTTTGAGTTGATTTTTATGTGTGGTTTAGATAAGTGTCCAATTTTATTCTTCAGCATGTGGATATCCAGTTTTTCCAATACCATTTTCTGAAGAGACTGTTCTTTCTTCATTTAGTGTCCTCAGCACATTTTTTGAAATTCAGTTGACTGTACTTCCTCAGTTTTATTTCTGGGCTCTCTGTTGTATTCTATTTATCAGTATTGGTTTTCTTTTTTTTTTTTTTTTTTTTTTTTGAATTCCACTATCGTGGTTTTTGTTACTGTAGTTTTGTAATATATTTTGAAACCTAGAAGTGTAGTGCCTCCAACTTTTCATTTGTTTGTTTAAGATTGATTTCTCTATTCACAGTCTTTTGTGTTCCATATCAGTTTTAGGACAATTTTTTTTTTCTATTTTTGTAAAAAATGTCATTGGGGTTTTGACAAGGATTGCATTGAATCAGATCACTGGGATAGTATGAACATTTTAACAGTATTAATTCTTACAATCCTTGAACAAGAAATGTCTTTCTATTAATCTCTATCTTCCTTAATTTCCTTCACCAATATTTTGTAATTATATGTAATTATAAAATAAGCATACAAGTCTTTTAAGTCTTTGGTTAAATTTATTGCTAAACATTTTATTCTGTTTGCTGCTATTATGAGTGGGGTTCTTTCTTAATTTTCTTTTCAGATACTTTGTTTTTTTGTGTAGAGAAGTGTGACTAATATTTTTATGCAACTTTACTGAATTTATCTATTGGTACTAAAAGGTTTTTTGCTGAATGTTTAGGGTTTTCTACATATATATCATCTGCAAACAGACATAATTTTACTTTTTCCTTTCTGATTTGGATGTGATTTATTTATTTATTTTTCTTGTCTTATTTGCTGTGGATAGGACTTCCAGTACTATGCTGAATAGAGGTGGTAAGAGTGGACATCCTTGCCTTGTACCAGATCTTTGAGGGAACACTTTTGGCTTTCCCTATTGATTATCATGTGATCTGTGGGCATTTAATATATGGCTTTAGTGTGTTGAAGTAAGCCCCTTGTATGTCTATTTTGTTGTTTTGTTGAGAGTTTCAATCATGAATGGATATTGAACTTTGTCAAATGTTTTTTGGCATCTACTGATATAATAATGTAGGGTTTTTTCCTTTTTTTTTTTTTTTGTTAATGTGGTGTATCACATTGATTGAGTTGTGTATGTTGAACCATCCTTGCATCCCAGGGATAAATCCCACTTGGTCATGGTGCATGATCCCTTTAATATGCCTTTTAATTCAGTTTGCTAGTATTGAGGATTTAAAAATCTATGTTCATCAGGGATGTTTGCTTATAGTTTTCTTTCCTTTTTGTCTCTTTGGTATCAGAGTGATGCTAGCCTCATAAAATGAGTTTGGATGTGTGCTCTCCTTTTATCTTTTTTGGCAGAGTTTAAGAAAGACTGGTTTTAATTCTTCTTTGAATGTTTGGTAGAATTCAACTCTGAAGGCTTCTGCTCCAGTTCTTTCCTTTTTGGTGAGGTTTTTGGTTACTGATTCAATCTCCTTATTTGTTATTGGTATGTTCAGGATTTCTGTTTCTTATTAATTTAGTTTTGGTAGGTTGTATATTTCTAGGAATTTATCAATTTTGTTGGTATACAATTGCCCATAATAGTCCCTTGTAATCCTTTTTATTTCTGAGACATCTACTGTAATGTCACCTTTCTCTTAAGCTATCTAAAGGTTTATGGATTTTGCATATTTTTTCAAAAAATAAACTTTCAGTTTTGTTAATTTTGTAATTGTTTTTCTATTTTCTATTTGATTTATTTCTGCTCTAATATTTATTTTCTTTCCTCTGCTAATTTTGATCTTTTTTAAAAACTAATTTCTTAAAGGTATAAAATTTATTTGAGATCTTTCTTCTTTTATAATGTAGACATTTATAGCTACAAAATTATATCTTGGTATTGCTTTTCCTGCATCCAATAAATTTTGTTATGTAGCATTTTTGTTTTTGTCCATTTCAAAATGTTTTTAACATTTTAAAAATTTTTTTGGCCCAAAGGTTGTTAGAGTATGTTGTTTAATTTCCATATATTTTCTCATTTTCTTACTGTTACTGATTTCTATTTTTATTCCATTGTGTTCATAAAAGATATTTGGAATAATTACAATCTTCTTGAATTTGTTAAGAATTGTTTAGTGACTTAACTTGTGATCTATCCTGGAAAATGTTCTATGTGCAATTGAGAAGAAAGTCTTCTATTCTGCTCTTGGGCAGAATGTTCTGTATATTTCTGTTAGGTTCATTCAGTCCGTAGAGCTGTTCAGTTCTGCTTTTTCCTTACTGATATTCTGTTTAGAAGATATATCCCTTATAGAGAATGGAGTATTGAAGTCTCCTACTATTATTGTGTTGATGTCTATTTTCTTATTTAGATCTGTCAATGTTCACTTTATATATTTAGGTTCTTTGATGTTGGGGGCATATGTAATTTTAATTGTTTTATCTTTCTATTGAATGGATCTTTTTGTATATAATAACTTTATTTGTGTTTTTTGACAATATTTTTTGTATTAGTCTACTTTGTTTGATATAAGTATAGCTATCCCTGATCTGTTTGGGTTACTTTCACATGGAATATCTTTTTCTACCCCTTAACTTTTAGCCTATGTATGTCCTTAAAGCTAAAGTGAGTTTCTTATAGGCAGCATATTGTTGCATCTTTTTAAAAAAATTCATTCAGCCATTCTATGTCTTTTGATTGGAGAATTTAATCCATTTACATTTTTTGATAGGTAAGGACTTAGTCTTGCCATTTTGTTAATTGTTTTCCAACTGTTTTGTAGTTTCTTTCTTTCTTCTTTGCTTCTGTCTTCCTTTGTATTTGATGATTTTTTGGGACAGTATGCTTTGAGTCCTTTCTTTTTCTCTTTTGTGTATCAACTAGAGGCTGCCATGAAATGTATGTAAATTATCTTACAGTTATAACACTATTTTTAGCTGCTAATAACTTCAGTCACACAAAAACTATACTTTTACTCTCTCACACATTTTATGTTATTGAAGTTCCAGTTTACATCTTTTAATATTTTTATCCGTTAACAAATTATTATATCTAGTTATTTTTAATACTTTTGTCTTTTAACTTCGATAGTAGAGTTAAACTGGTTTATATTACACCATTGCAATTTTAGAGTATTCTGAATTTGACTATATACTTACCTTTTACCAGTGAGTTTTATACTTGCATATATTTTCATGTTACTAATTAATGTTCTTTTGTTTCAACTCAAAGGACTCACTTAGGATATATATTTCTTAAACCTAGTCATAGGTTTGCTTGAGGATCCATAATTCGGCTAAGTTCAGAGGGCCTGCTATAGGGGACAGGGATAGGCATGTTTCCTGGATGCCTGGACAGAGAGTACTGGCCCTGGACTGCAGCAGAGCAGGACTGAAACAGAATCTCAGGTCTGCTTAAGTCTCCATAGCTGAGACTGAGGTGGGAGGGCCTGCCACAAGAAGCATGGATGTGAGTCACTGGGTTCCCAGGCAGGCAGGGCTGACTCTGGACTGTGGTAGGGCAGGGCTAGAGCTGAGTCACAGAGCTACTTCAAGATCTGCAGTAGGGACCAAAGTCAGGTGGATTGCTACCAAGAGTTGAGGTGGATGTGTTTCCTGCCTTCACCCAGTTCCCTGGGTGGGCAGGACTGCTTCTGGACTGGCAGGATGAAGCTTGGAGCTAGAAATGAGTCACAGGACTGCCTCAGGATTTGCAGTTTAACCAAGGGCTTAATACCTGGGGCATGGACAGGTGTGGCTTCTCCAGAGTTTCTTGGCACATCAGGCTGGTTGCAGGATGGTGGCCAAGTGAGGCTGGAGCTGAGTCTACAGGGGAATGGGGCTTCTTTGGTCTGCAGCTGTGGCCAGGCTTGGTAAGACTGCCACTGGGACAAAGGCCTGCTTTCTCAAAGGGGATCTCCTTGGTTATGAGCGTTGCCAGTGTTTTTCAATCTCGTATCTGGATCCTAAAGCTCCTACAAAGGCACTTTTGTCTGCGGGGAATGATTGCCAGATCAATTTTTGTGTGGGCAGATGCAAACTGGGCACCTCCTGTTCTGCTATCTTACTGGTGTCATTTAGACATACTACTCTTTCATCATCATTTTACTGAGTGGTGGGTACTTAGAGGTTTGTTCCCATATTCTTTGTAACTTTCTGGTTTAAAAAATTTCTCATGATTATAAGCCTCTCTAGGATCTCTTCCTTGTCAAAACAAGCAGCATTTTCTCAGTCCTTGTCCCCACTTGAATTCTTCATGACCCTTTTGTATGGATGATACATTTCCTCACCTTCTGGAAGCCCTCTCTTCCCTTGACCTCCATGGCAGGATCATACTGATTTCCTTTCTATTCCCTCTCATATTTCTAACAGTAGTTTCCCCAGGAAACAATATTCACCTATTTTTCTTCTTTCTCTGTATCTCAGGAATGTTTATGATTACTCTGTTTCAGCTATAAACCTGTATGCAAATGGCTCTCAAATTCATTAATTTAGGCCTGACTTGTCTCCCAAATCCCTGATTCATATTTCCAAATGCCTGCTCGAGAGCTCTCCTTGGTTCTCCTAAATACCTCAGAGCCAGCATGGTGAAAACCCAGTTGATAACCCTCCCCCTGCCCCACTCAGCTCTTCCTGCTCCCTCTTGACTTGCTCTTCCTTATATCACCATTATCCACACTATTCAGGCTCAAAATTTAGTAATCAGAGTTGATTCTTTCTCTTACTCCATAATCAGTGCCCAGCTTTTATATTCTACCTATAATTTCTTTCAGGTGAGCATCCTGCTTTTCTATTCCCCCATCTCTATTTTAGTGTGATGCCTATTATCTCTCCTCTGACCCCTTCTTACCCATAATCTCTATACACAAAGTCTCTGTTCTTTTCCATCATAACTTCCATACTCTGGAATAATCATTCTTTTCTTCAGACGCCATCACTTAGCTTCCCTTACTGAAAAAATTAAATACAGTGTGAAATTCAGGATCCTCCACAATGTAGGACCCAGCTCTCCACATACTTTAACCACCATGAATAACAGCCATTAATAATAGTGAACATGAATGCGAACTCACTGTGGGCCAGGCATTGTGCTAAGTGATTTTAATAACCCAATGAAGTAGGTACTGTTATTATAATTTGATAGTTACATTAATTATGTGCTATAGTCAGAGAGTTAGTAAGCATTTGAGCCTATGTGAGGGGATTCCAGATCCTGCTACCATTTTGGTGTTTTATTGGCTTATCACCTACTCGTACCACATGAAGCTTTAATCTGGAATTTTAATGCGTCCACCATTGACTGCTGCCCCACCTCCCACTGATTGGAATGTTTTTCTACACATGTTGTGTTAGAAAATATTTTCTTTCCTACAGACTCTTTACTGACCCCTGCCCCATATTTGAAATCCTACATTATTTACTTTGTAATATTGATATACAACTGTATTTATTTCTTATAACAATGTGTGCCCTTAGCATCTCAGTTTTAATATTTTTTATCTCCATAGAGACAGAAACTGTGTTTCAATCCCTTTTTTTATGCTTTAAGTTACTTAGAAAAGCACCTTACCTACAACCTGGTAGGGTCTTCATTTGAATTAAATTGGCTAGTAGCACTTTAACTAAATATCAGAACTTGTCCTAATTCCTTACAATGCACCTTTCATGCTTTTATGATTATTACTTCTTGCATTAGTGTTTAGACAGCCTGCAGGAGCCGCATTGATTTATATGTCACACATATATATATATATATATATATATATATATACACACACACATATATATATACACACACATATATATATACACACACATATATATACACACATATATATACACATATATATATACACACACACATATATATAATTGATTTATTTACATCTCCAGAACTGCCCTGCTGAGGAAAAGAAAAGTCTATTTCCACAAAAGACAAGCAGTAGTAACTGAAAAAGTGTCACAGCAATGTCCAGACAGAAGGAAAATGTTTTAAAATTGGATTAATTAGAATTAATGGCCTAGTTTTGATCTCCTACATTAGTCAGAAGAGATTCATCTAAGCTATTCAAGTCCATGTGTAGTAGTCTGAAATTTTTCTACAGAGAAGTTCATCTGGAAGAACTAATTTTGAGTTATCTGAATTCTTCTGATCCTAACATTTTGGTTGGGAGAAACTGACAATGAGGAAGTGATGGGCACTTGACTGCTTGCTGTAGATCTCCATGTCTTTGTTACCCAAGATGGAGGGGTGCAACTGTCTCAACAACTGTTTGGAAAAATAAATTGAAATTTACCATTTGCTAGCCCTGTCTCGGAGAGTGGGTAATTGAATTTTTGCCTCTTATGTGAAACCTATTCTTACATTCTCTCTCTATACCCATTTATCTCTTTACAGAGCTGCCTGAAATTATTCATATTTCTTATTTTTTAGCCCTTTTTCTCACTCAAACCATTGATTTTTTTCTCAATCACACCCATTACTTTTTAGTTCTGCTTTCTAAGAACCTTTAAGCTTGTTTGGTGTGTGATGAATACATTTTTTAAAATGTTTTGTGACAGAACATTTCTGGGGTAAGGGAGTGATAAATATCAAATCAAATGGAGGCTAGGAATTTAATTTTCCCTGTCAGGGCCAATCTGTGCTTCGTTTTATCCTGACAAAAATTGATATTTTATCCCTGTGATAATGGAAGACTCTGATTGTAGTGCCTTTTCATAATTTGTTGGAAAAAAATCTTTTTTTCCTCCTGAGAAACTTGAATCAAAGCAGAGTGGATTCTGTGCAGATAGTGAAGAAAGGCACCTGATATTCCTTTAGCCCTTTGTGTCCCCAGGCCTGGCAGCAAATATTTTCATAAACTTGCTCAGGTTCTTTATTAAATGTGTTTTTTTCTGGTTTAATCTGTGGTTGTCACCAAGAAATTTATCTAGAAAAGGCTGTAACACAATCCTCCCCTACATTCTTCATTCAGCTCCATTTCTTAAATTAAGGAAGACTTGAGGAGTCTGAGACAATGGCTGAAAACTGACCTTTTAAGTTAACACACCAGAATTTGGTTAAGGCTAGAGAGGAACAAAGTAGTACTTATTTAATGAAGACCCTTAAAGAGCTTCCTTTGAGTGAGGCAACATTTCAGAGATCTCTACATATTAATTCATTTAATGGTCATCATATCCTATATGATGCTGATCCTATTTTTAATCCTCATTTTATGGTTGAGAAAACTGAGGCAAAGAGAGGTTAATTGTCAATGACTCAAGTTACCAGCAAGTGGTAAAGCCAGGATTCCAATGCAGCCAGGATCAATACTCTTAATCACCTACTCTGCTGCCTCCACATTAAATTGTTCAGTTAGATGTGCATCTATCCTGGCATCACCCGTCTCTCCCAGACATCTTGCCCGTTCTTATTTGTTCAGTCTCTGAACTACTCTTTGGAAGGATGTTTCCCATCATATTTCTTTACATTCCCCAAACAAGTTATGCCAGAAGCATTCAGGAGATGTCCAGACTCCCAAATCCTGGAATTACTTCTGCCTCAGAGGTGCAGTCTCAGCTCTGTCGAAACAAACTATATGATCTTGGGGGGAAAAAGGTTCCTTTACTGTCTTTCTTGTCCATGTGTAAAATAAGATGAGGCTCAGCTAAGTGATTGCCTTTGTTCCAGCAATAAGGTGTTCGCCTTGACCCCATACTCTGCGACACCCGGGCTTGTGGACCATGCTTAGAAATATGTCTCATATTCAGTCTATCTTCTGGGGGCGGGCCGACTTGGGTCAGCTAAAACTTTTCACCAAATCTGAGATAATGTGTCTGCATGTGTGAATATGTGTCTTTTAATTTCATTTAATTTCATGGAAGCCTGACCATTAGTTAAGAACTGTTTAGAACCAAGTGACAAAACCCAATTGAAAATGGTTTCAACGAAGTAGAAAAATCTATGGGCTCATGTAAATCAAAAGTTTGGGAGAATGGAATCTTTAAGCATGGTTTTATCCAAAAACTAAACAATGCCCTCAGAATTTAGTCTTTTGCCATGCTCCCCTCTGTGTGGAATGTATTTTGTCAGGGAATTCTAATAGACAGTCTAGTTTATTCCTAGAGATACAAGTTTATATGTTACTAATTAGCAATTCTAATATGAAGGGAATTGCATGAAGCATCTTTCCTATTAGGTCAAATACAAGTCCTAGAGCTACCTCTTAGGAGACTGATTTTTGTGCCAGTTTTTACCAGTCAGTCTGCTGGGGGCAGGGTGGTGGTGGTGGTGGGAGGAATGATGATATAATATGCAAGTTTCCTGTGCCCAAAACCTAGGGATCATACTTGCCTGAACCACATGGGCTGAAAGTAGGGAAGCAATTGTTAACTGAAAAAAAAAAAGTTTCTTTTACCAGAAGAAAAGAGATGCATGGTAGGGAGGAAGGCAGGAAAAACTAAGATATGTAATCCGTAGTATGTGAAGCTCAGCTGCCTCCTCCCATATTTACAAGTGTGATCTCAGAAAAAGAGGCTTTTAGGATACTTTCCTTGTCGTCCAAACAGATGACGTTGGTAGATAAAATATAATTTAAACACATGAAAAGAACATAAGTCCAGAAATAAGTTATCATGGACCACAAATAGACCAGAAATTTGAAATGTTGAGGAAGACTTAAGTCAGTGGCTTGCTGGGCTCTAAGACTAGAAGGAGACGTGGTAGCTAGCATTTTACTCCTAGGCTATTTCTGCTAAAACTAATAAACATGGGTTAGGGTTCTAGAGTCAGGCTCACTATTTGATGTCAGAGTCTGGAGCTGGGTTTGGTTCCCCTCCCACAAAGAAAAGTACACTGAAAAAAATAAATAAGTGCTGATTCACGACTTCGGGATTTGTTTTTTCAGAATCAATGGACCTACAAAGTCAGGAGGATAAAGATGCATCCAGGAATAGCACCAAGATGCCATAGCCCTAATATCACCATGGGTAAAGAGCTCCCTAATATTTCTGGACTGGGGGTCTGAAGGTGAGGGAAGACAAAAACAGCACCACTAGATAGGTACGATATTCACAGACGGAGGGAGAGAGATAAACATAAACAACAACCATGGAAAACCCACTTTCAACATGACCCTATAACAAATAAAACTTCCAAAATATGTCATGAGAAAGACAGCCAACAAAGCCAGTAAGAAAACCACAAATTCACTCTATATGACATCAAATATATAAAAATTTTATATGAAGATTTTAAAGTTACTACATTTAGGATGCTCAAAGTGACAAATGAAGAAATAATGTCAATTAAGAAGTGTGAGAATTAACTAGTTTGAAATCTTGTAAATGAAAAAAGTATAGTTTATTCAAAAAAGTAAATGGGATAAATTTAATCCTAGACACAGTTAAAGAAGGAATTAATGAAGTGAAAGAAATCTGCTCAGAGGCAGCACAAGAGGAATGGGATAAAATATTTCTGTAAGCACAGTTAGTAGACATGAGGATATACTGAGAGGCTCGCACATTTTTATCTGATAGAACTTCCAGAAGAGAATGAAGGGAATGGTGGAGAAACAGTATTATAAGATGTAATAGCTGAAATTTTTGTAAAATAGAGGAAAGATTTGTCTTTCAAAAGTGTATTCTGAATATCAAACAAAAGAAATAAAGATTAACCCACACTTAGAAACATCATATTTAATTAGCAGAACAAGAGGATAAAAAGAAAATTTGAGAATCTGCGCCTGGGAGAAAAACAGATGACTTTCAAAGAGACAACAGTTAGACTGAAAGAAAGGGATGAGCAACAAGGCACAATGTCTTTTAAAAGAATGAAGTTAAAAGTGGAAGTTTTCAGTCACTGAAGATGAAGAAAGTCTACCAACAAGACCCTCAATAAGGGAACAATTAATGGATGCACTTCAGCAAGAAGAATAATAAACAAGAGATGACAGGCATGTTATATGAGGAATGATGATGAATATAGAAATTGATACATTTTATGAGAAATTACAGAAAGGACTGGCTACAAAAACTAATTCATTGTTTAATTTGATAAAGCAAACTCGAGATAGCAATGCCAATATGGAAGACTGAATTTAATGGGTACTTAAAATATGTTAAAATTTTTGTCATATTTTGGGGAGTGCAGATGCATTGTAAATACATAAATTTTGTTCAGAATGGTTATAGGCTAAAGAAAACCACTAAAGTCAAGACATAAAATCTATAATTTGATTGACACTAATAGATAAAGAGTAGAATATATTAAACTCCATCAACTTAAGCATGACTGGAAAGTAGAGGGGGAAAGGAACAAAAACAGACTGATAAACACAAAATCAGTTGGTTAAAATGAGTGTGTGTATGTAACCAGTAATACCAATAAAAATAATTGGGTTAAAGTAAATTATTTTTGGCTAAAATTAACAGTTTGAGAAAAATGAAATCGATCTCCATCTCTGCTAACAAGAGACATACTTAAGATGACCCTCAGAGAAGGTTTGCAGATATAAACACCAAACAAGCTTGTGCAGTAATATTAATATTAAATGAGAAAAAAATTATGGAAAATCTAATGATAGGGATAACAAGGGCTACTGTATAATAAAAAATACAATCATGTGATCTATCAAGCCCCTACCAACAGAACAAAAACAGAATTACAAGGAGGTAGGAACAAACCTATAAAATGGATGATTTAAACAAATATTTCTAATTGGCATATATAGAATTTCACACCCAACAACTGGATTTACAAAATCTAACCATATTCCGGGTCACAGAAGAAAAATTATCAGCAATTTAAAAAATCAATCACCGGTTTTATGAGCAGAGAGCAATTTACTTCCATCTCTATCATAAAAAATATTTAGAAACTTGATTTTTCATTAAGAAATCACCCTAGAATTTAAAAATGTCTTGAACTGAAGGACAATGAAAACATTACATATAAAAACATATGAGGTGTAGCTAAATCAGTAATTAGAAAAAATTTTCTGCCCATTAAACCAGTATTAGCCACTCTGGGTAAATCATGTGTCTTGGAGTGAGGATTTACATCTGCAGCTACCTAGTAAGCCTCATTCCCACTGTCTCTATTCCTTTTTTTTTTTTTTTTTTCTTTAGACAGAATCTCACTCTGTCACCCAGGCTGGAGTGCAATGGCATGATCTCGGCTCACTGCAACCTCCACCTCCCGGGTTCAAGTGATTTTTCTGCCTCAGCCTCCTGAGTAGCCGGGATTACAGGCACCCGCCATCATGACTGGCTAATGCTTGTAGAGACCGGGTTTCACCATGTGGCCAGGCTGGTCTTGAACTCCTGACCTCAGGTGATCCACCCACCTCAGCCTCCCAAAGTTCTGGGATTACAGGCGTGAGCCACTGTGCCTGGCCTGTTTCTATTCTTTAACGCCAGGACAGGTGATACCTGCCCAAAGCACAGCCTGTGATATCTAACCTGAGCTGATCTATACTACTTTGCCTCTACTTATCTGCTCTCATGGCACATCTCCATCTTTCTTACCGTAGCATTATCCATGACCTTGTTTAATCCTTTCTCCTCCTTCCACTCCTCTTTCCACTAGCAGTAAACTATTTGAGGGAAGGGATCTGTATATGCCCTGTTCCATGTAAGAGACTTGTGCATAGTAGGTGTGCAGTAAGTGTTCACAGACTTGAGTGCCAAAGTGATCACAGAAGGCACCTACACATAGTGCCTCTGCATGTGAAGCATGTGAAGGCTCTTGGGTCTATGGGTCTGGGGTTCAGAGCAGTGCTCAAGCTATAGACCTGACTTTGAGAATCATCAGCATTCAGATGATATATAAAGCCTGAAAATGGTTAAGATCACTTAGGCATTGACTGGTGTGAGCAAAGAAAGCCCAGGTTCAGGAAGAGAGGAATGGCAGCACAGTCCAGTACAGACTTGGAGAAGGGGCTAGCTGAAGAGGTAAGAGGAAAATGAGGTGTGTAAGTACCTGCAAATCTGGAGAAAAGAGTGTTTTTTTAAAAAATTAAGTTGTGCTTCGTGCAGCTGGTAGGCAAAGAACAAAGAGATTTGAAAGGAGTTCACAGGAATAAAAGCAATGGCGGTCATTGGGGCCTGGAGCAAAGTCAGTTTGAAGGAAATGGTGGAGTTGGACATGAGATTGGAGTGAGCTGCCTGCATAATTTTGTGCATGAAGAGCTCTGCCTGGAGTGCCTTTTCTTCCACCCCTCAAGTCTTGGCTCACAGCCTGTCCTCTGCATGTACTTCATATATATCATATGTTTTTATTATATATAGTTATACATATGTAATATTTATCACATTGCATATATAGGATATAAATAACATACACACATATACATAAGTTTTTACTACTACACATCACAATCATTATCTACTATTATACGTCATTATTATGTGTGTGTGGACTCCCATACCTCACCCCGGCTGAGAATGTGAGGTTTTGGGGTCAAGACCATTTATGTGTGTGTCCCAGTTTCCAACACCGTGTGCAGAAATGTGTTATCTTTCCCTTCATAGAAAATATTTTTATGAGGGTGAGAGACGCACAAAGGGGTGGTGTGGTGAGGGGAAAGGCTAAGGCAACAACGCTGCCTCTTTCCACCCTTTGTAATGTGTTTTGGCACAATTTTGGTTGGCTGTGGTAACGTAGTAGAGAGTGGCTGCTTGTAGGGGGGAGGTGAGGTGTGCAGAGCCACTGTCAGAGCAGCATCTGCCTGCACTCCCGGCAGTGGCCACTTCCATCTGGGGCGGGGGTACCTGGCATCCCTCAGACATTTCTTATGCTCCTTTGCCTCCCCACCCTCCCAGCATTTCCCCGAAAGTGCAGTGCTAATGGACCCATAGCTGCTGGGCTTTTCATCCTGGTATAATGTGGCCTGGGGCCAGGCAGAGATGGTGGATAGGACAGACCCTTGCCTTCATCAGCATGCCTGGGCATGAAGTGCATATGAGTTCTGTGCAGACTCCATGTTGTGCTTTTCCAGGATTTGGAATGAGAATGTCCCAATTCAGCCAAGAGTAGCACCCATTTGGTTGGCTTAGTCTTGGCCTCAAATGTAACATAAGTTAAGGTCAAATGTAGATTGTTTCCCCTTCTTTCCCTCCTTCCCTCCTCCCATTCATCCTACTCATCATTTCCCCCCTTGGTGTCTTTTATTTGAGTGTCTCATCTGTCTTAAGGTCAAATGTAGATTGTTTTCCCTTCTTTCCCTCCTTCCCTCCTCCCATTCATTCTACCCATCATTTCCTCCCTTGGTGTCTTTTATTTGAGTGTCTTATCTGTCTTCCTTTCTGTCTTTTTACCTGCCACTTTTTCTCTCTCATTCATTCTCTATTTCTCTCCATTCATACATATGCACATGTTTGCATAAATGCAAATATATGCTTATATAGTTCATTCCGATTTGGAATACAGACTTTTGGTTTTTTTCTCTTATGGTCGTAGTTTTCCTGGCTACCTCTACAATGTCACCTGGGACCAATACCTGAGAAACTGTTTCCATCGGGGAGGTTGCTCTCTGTCTCACGCCAGCCTGGCTGGCTAGATTCCAGATGCTACAAAGGCTTCTCTGGAAAAATTAAGAAGACAAGGGGTAGGGCCTATAGGGCTCTGAGCAGAAGGTATCAAGGTAGTTATAGTGAGGAAGAGGTCCCTCCCACCCTTGCTGCCCCTACAGACCAGGGAATCCAGCTGTTACTGGGTGCTAAGGATGAAATTTGGATTCCAGAAGAGTAAATTTTAAAGTGCTGGGAAGAACTGATCTAACCCTGTAACCCCTCCTTTTCTTCTTTTCTTTTCTTTCTTTTTGTTTATAGTTTCTGGCACGTAATGAAATGGTCAAAGCAACAGGAAGTTTTGAAACTAGTCCCACATCCCCTTCAAATAGCATGCAGCCTAATGGGTCATTACCTTTACAAATATACCTCATTGACCCTCACCTAATTAACTCCTTGTGGTTTAATCAACATATCCTTAGGAAAAGGTTGGTGATATTTTGCTTGAAATTCTCTAGTCTGACTTTTTATATGCAATTTTCTTCTAGAGTGTGTGCCTCTTATAATGTGATTAATTACTTTCCCCCGGAAGAAGTCTTGGCACCCTTTCAACACTTAGAAGCTCTGCTCTCATGGGCAGAGAAATCACCTTGACATGCTGGGGCATGAGCAGGGACAGAATAGTAATGGCTTAGCATGGTGGAGGGCATGGGAATCATAGAAGGCTTGCTCTAAAGGCCAGGACTGGGAGCTTGGCTGTATTGGATGAGGGTTTTAGAAAGTTCTATGTGTCAGAGATGAAATCTAAGTCTTTTAGCAGATCTGAGGAGAAGGTACACTAGGCAGGCCAGTGGCCAGGAGTCCAGGGAGAGCAGGCACCAGAGTGAGAATCCAGATCAGAGAACCAAGCAAAGAAAATTGAAGATTCAGGTGGAGATTGTGGGGATAACAAGGTCAAGAGCCCCTTGGACAAAGACAAAGGTAACAGAGGAAAAGCTGTAGGCAAAGCACAGCATGCTGGAAAGACCAGGGGTTAAGTCTCACATTCGGTCTGGGTTCAAGTTCTTGTGCTATTTACAAGGAGTTTCTCCTTGAGCATAATTAACATCTGTAGCCATTTATATTTTACTTAAAATGAAACCTATAAAACCCCTTTGCTTTATTATGGTGAGGTTTAAGTAAAATTATGTGTGTAAAATGCTAAATACAGGGCTTGCTGTATAGTAGCTATTACTAACTGATAATTCACTACCCCCTGCCCTAGACAAGGTCCTGTGGCATAGCTGTATGAATGAAAGTTGACCGTCATACAGAGGTTAGCAGGTGAGGAATTCCTGTGGGTTTCTTACCTAAGTCCGACTTGGTTGCATATTTAGACAGAAACTCAAGTCTAGAGTGTTTACTTGACTTGGTGAAGGTCCCAGCAATTGTTAGAAACAAAGCCAGAAATATAACTCAGCTTTTCTAAATTCTAATCCGCAGGTCTCTCCAATTAAGCATGTAAATACTTAATGGTATCCATTGATACTTGGAGCCAAATAAGATTTGTATCTTAGTGAGGAAACGTCTGTGGATTTATTACAAAGCCTATGAAGATAAGTGTTATTTTATGTTTCATGGATGCATCTTAATGACTGCCCTACAGGTCTGCATGTTTGACTTTAATGCTTGCATTTATCTAAATGTCATAAAAGTAATAGGAAGACCATATGAAGGAGATGATGAGAACCAGGCAGCACCTTCTTTGGGGCATGTGACTTGTCTTGTGTATACACTGCTGGTGATGGATCATTTTGATTTATCTGCTTTCCCATCCCAGTCCCTCTGGCCATGACAACAATGATTGGAGTTAGAGCACAGTCTGTGGAATGGAGTGAGCTAGGTTGTCTATCTAAAACCCATAAATTGAGGATCATCAGTCAAACACTTGCCTCATGCATCTATCTGGCCAAAAGGAGAACCTCAGAGTCCTTGACTCTGCTTTTAGCTCCTGATTTGCTCCATGGGTATCTCTCATGAAACTATTTCTTTGGAAATGTAGCAGGGCTTAGTTAAGAATGTGGCACACAGGAGCCAGACTGCCTGCTTTAGAACCCAGCCTTTAGGACGTTTTTTCCATATTATCTTGAGCCAGTCACTTAACTATTCCCAGCCTCAGTATTCTGATTTGTGAAATGGTGCTTACAGTAGCACATTCATCATGAGCTGTCTTGAGGATAATTTGGGTCAAAACAACCACAGTGCTTAGTCAATGATGGATACATAGTAAATGTGTCTTAATTTGTTGTCTGGTCCTAAAGCTACAGATTCTTGGTTTCCCTTTGTGGAATCTGTCACACTCCTTCTCTACTCAGCCACTTGGGTTCAACTCTTCCCTTGACTTTTGGTCAGACCCAAGGCAGCCTATCTGACCCCTGGTAAGATGATATTTGGGCATGGGTTTGCTTTGAAAGGTGCTGTATTAGCCATTCTCACACTGCCTAAGGCTAAGTAATTTATAAAGAAAAGAGGTTTAATTGACTCACATTTCCACTCGGCTGGCAAGGCCTCAGGACACTTACAATCATGGCAGAAGGGAAAGCAGGCACCTTCTTCACAAGTCGGCAGGAAAGAGAAGCATGAAGGAGGAATTTCCAAACATTTATAAAAACACCAGATCTTGTAAGAACTCACTCACTATCATGAGAACAGCATGGGGGAGACTGCCCCCATGATCCAGTCACCCCCCCACCAGGTCCCTCCCTCAACGCATGGGGATCATGGGGATTACAGTTCAAGATGAGATTTGGGAGGGGACACAGAGCCAAACCATGTCAGGTACAGAACTCATGATCTTGATTTGTAGCATCATATTAAACTCCTTGAATTCTTCTGTTCTCATGTCATGTTGGCCTTTTCACTAATCCATCCCTAGTGTCTTTCATGGTACCTGATGCAAAAAAGGTACTCGGCTGTGCTGACCACATGAGCAAGTACATGCAGGGAAGAAACACAGTCTCTTGTGTAGCCCTTAGCTGGCCCTAAAAATCTGTACTTTGCACTGCTGCTGCTTCTGTGTTCAGTTACTTTATAGTTTACTGAGTTTTGGCAAAGGGTAGAAGACCAAGGTGTGGGAGCCATGGGTGAAGGAGAAGTGAAAGAATGCCATAAAGAAATGCCACTTTTGGGCCACTGCCAATGGCTAGGCAGGGCTCATGTTGGGAAAGGAAGGGTGGAGTCCTATTTGACGCATTCACATTCTCAGAGTCTGGTGAGCCAGGCAGCCAAACTGCTATGGACAAGTTGGTGTGTCTTAAATCAAGTTGGATCTGAGTAGGCATTTATCTAATATAGTTTATGGCTATGTGAGCATATGGAGAGCAGAATTATGCTAGAGAGGTGCCAAGGTTTTAGCTGAGAATATGGTATGTGTTTTAAGCCTTCCTGACAAGTTAGAGACTCAATGGGACAAAGGAGAAAGATGTCAGAAGGATGCCACTGATGTCAGAATCAGAGACAATTGTCAGCTAGATGAGAAGAAGGTCAGTGTTAGGGATATATTTTTACCCAAATTTCAAAGTCTGAACAGTTTCTGCAAAACTGCCCTCACTCTGTACTAACTGCAAGTTTGGGAACTTCCCAGAATCACCCTTAGTTTCCATGATTTGCTGGATCACTGCACATCTCACTGAAAGTTATTACACTCAGTGATAATTTATTACAGGGAAAGAATTCAAATTAGAGCTAGGCAAAGAAAGAGATGCATAGGACAGAGTCCAGGAGGAATTGAAATGCAGAGATTCTGCTCCTTTTCTTCCTGTGGAATCCTGGTTGGCATTACTTCCTCACTGCCATGATGTGTGATAACAGGTGTAAAGTATTCCCAACCAGGGAAGCTCATCCAGTCCTTGTATGGAGTTTGCATTGGGGCTTGATTGCATACTGCCTATGTGGCTGACCTGCAGTCTCTCTCCTTGCAGAGGCTGGGCTAATACCTTTAGTCTCCAGTTCCTCCAGAGCTTGGAACGGCTAGGGCTAGAGCATGGCTCAAGCTCTCATCTTAAGTCACATTGTTAGACAGTCCTGGTGCCAAAGCACCCAAACAAATATACTCCAATCAGGTAGAACATTCTAGGGGCACAGGGGGTCTCCTCTATGTAGCCAAAGGCAAAGGCCAGACTTATCTTTGGGTAAAGTTGATGCTTCATTGCATAGTTATTAACTCTTAAATTCCCCTTTTGTCCAAAATCACCTTGCAAATGGTGGCACAGGGCAAAACAGATTATAGGGACTCTACCAAGCTAGACCATATTAATTTATGATCCTATCTATATGGGAAAGCCAGATAGAGTGGGCCAGGTCTTTATAAGTCAGGATTATGCTGGTGAGGTTTTTCTGGCTGGGCCTAATGGTGCAGAACCACCACGGACCCAGTCCTAGCCTTCACTTTGCAGTCTCAGATACTTGATTTTATCCATTCATCTGGGTGCATTGGATTATATGGACCAATGCCCCAAGAGATGGATTTTAAAAATCACAAATCTATTAATTTATAATTAAATATATACTCACATATGTGCATACCTTTACTAAGAACCAGAAGAAGTCACTCACATGGCATGTCTCAGTCTTGTTGAGGTGAGCCACTCAGGACACTGAAATACATCGCAGAAGGCAGCTTATTCAGCACAGAATCAGAGCAGAGGGAGCTGGCTGTTGAAGATATGGTAGTTCTCACGGCCTGAAGACTGGCCTTGCCTACTCTAGCAGCATTTTTGCTCTAAAATAACAGTATCAGACTCCTAAAATGAGAGCACAATTTTTCCTGGTCAGTGCTAACAAGTCCTGTTTTTCCAAGTCTCCATTTTTATTATTTCTTATCAGGTCCCAAAGGCTTCTCTCATTACATTTTGTGTTATAATTTACAAGCTTATTTTATATAAGTGACATCTCAGAGTAAGTGGTTCCTAGTACATTAATCTAAGGCAGCTTTAAGTTACCATGTAGAGTAGGTTAGGGCCGCCCTCGTCCAGGTGGGGGCTGCCATGCTCACTAGGTCCAGGAGCTAGATATTCCCAGCCCATTCCTACACCAGGGATTCAAGGACCTGGTGATTTGGAGGTCATCTTTGATTTCTCTGTTTTTATCTTCTAGAGATAACGTGAGCAGGTATTATTCGTATGATTGCCTGAAGATAAAAACTCATGCTCATAAGATACATATCCTGCTGTGGTCCTCTCTTCTTTCCCATGGTAGAAGAGAGACCATTAAAACAAATAACAATGGTAGGAAAAAAATAGATTGTAATATCTGGATGGGAATTTAAGTCCTGGTGTAACATCCAGGCATTACAAACCTGGGCTTCATGCTTCATTTTGCCTACGGACCAACTTAGCATCTAAAACAGTCATACCACAGTGTGTACATATGTATGTATAATGCAAATATATAACACTCTGCATAATACAGCAAAGAAAGAGTGGGGCAAATTTCAGAGTTTAAAATGCAGTATTGTCATCTTTTTAGAGCTGGAGTTACCTTAATGTGCTGTCTGCCCCACTCAGGCAAACTTTAAAATAATATCATATTTCTCAAAACCCTATTAAACTGTCACATAAATTCCCTTTATTTCCCTTTCCCGTCAATGCTGATTACCACAGAAGATATTTCTGTGTCAGTGGAAATTTTTTCCCTTCCCATCGGCCTTCCTCTCTTGCCACTTTCTTTTGGGGGTCTGTCTCCAGGGGCCAGTCTTCTAGAGACCCCTTTGCCTCAGCCGAACAGAGGAAATACAATCACTCAGCCAGCCCTGGTCATCCAGTGCTGTTTTTCATGTAAGTGCTGAGTAGCTTCAGCTTCCAACTGGGCCATTCTGAGAGCTATGCTGATTTCACAGGGGCTTACAAATAGGTGATACTGAGCATTTCCTATGTATTTGGCTCAGGCTAAGCTCTTTATTCTGTCTCCTTTAATTTTTACAATGCAGTGAGATGGGATTATTATTATTATTATTATACCCATTTCACAGCTGAACAAATTGAGGCCACATGTAAGTAACATATGCAAAGTCAAGCCACAAATTCAGTGGCAGGGCGAGGGTTCAGGGCAACCAACTGCCCCAGTTTTCCCAGGTTGGAGGAGTTCACCTGGACGCTTGCTTTCAGTGCTAAAACTTGGACAGTTCTTGACAGAGAAGGATAGTTGATCACTTTAGTTTTTTTTTTTTTCTTTTTTTCTTTTTTTGAGATGGAGTTTCACTCTTGTCACCCAGGCTGGAGTGCAATGGAGCGATCTTGGCTCACTGCAAACTCCACCTCCTTAGGTAAAGCAATTCTCCTGCCTCAGCCTCCCGAGTGGCTGGGACTACAGGCACCCACAACCATGCACAGCTGATTTTTGTATTTTTAGTAAAGGTGGGGTTTCACCGTGTTGGTCAGGCTGGTCTTGAACTCCTCACTTCTGATGATCCACCTGCCTCAGCCTCTCAAAGTGCTAGGATTACCAGCATGAGCCACCGTGCCTGGCCGGTCACTTTAGTTTAGATTTCAGTCCCTCTGACTACCTGAAAAAACCCTTGTTCTTAACCATGAAGGATACTGCCTTACCCACATGGAACAGAATATGATAATATTATTACATAAATTAATACGATAATATCCACTCTTCATTATTTCCATCTTTCTAAATTTTTATGTTTTACAGAAAACTTTTTAAAGTCAAATTTGAGTGGTTCTCATTCAAACTAGATATGGCCATACCAATAATGTATTCACTCATTCATTTGATTGAGTACAGTTTGAATAATAATAATATAATTTTCCTTAATAATAATGCCAGTAATTATACAACTTAACTAATTACATTGATTGGGCAATTGATGTGTGCCATGTACTTTGCAAAATGCTTTACATGCATTATCATATTTAATTTTGACAACAACCCCATGAGATAGGGACTATTGTTTTCCCCAGTTTTGTAAGTAAAGCTGTGAAGCTCAGGGTACTTCAATGACTAGCCATAGAGAGTGGGCAGAGTCGAGATTCTGACCCAAGTCCAGCCTGCTCACTGACACAGGACATAGTGATCTCAACACAGCTTATTTGCCCTTCTCTACAGAGTTTCAGAGCTGGTTTCAAGGGCTTTGCAGTGGAGCAGTCCAATCTTAACCATGTAGCTGTGTCTCACTTAAAAAACAACTGTGAGAACTCTTAACTTTTCAGAAAGATTCATAGCAGGGTGCTTCAAAATTGAGGGCTTTCAAAGTAAATTTAAATGATGACTTGATTTGTAAAATATTCATTTACATGCAATCTGTAAGGCCTATCTCTGGCACAATCCTTTGGCATGGTCTAGGGGATTGTTTTAAACCAAGGCACTAGAGGGATGTCGTTAGGCTTGTATTAAATGACTTCCCGGGGACTTTTAAATCTATATACTGCTCAGGAAAAACTGACGACCAAAAAATTCTCACATGATAGACAACTTTGGTCACACAGACAGATATTCTGGACCCAGAGTTCCCTTCCTCCCTCTCTCATTCCCTCCCCTGCCTGCCTGCCTCCCTCCCTCCCTTTCTTCCTTCCTTCCTTCCTTTTTTTTTTTTTCTTTTTCTTTTTGAGACAGAGTCCCACTGTGTCGCCCAGGCTGGAGGACAGTGGTGCAATCTCGGCTCACTGCAACCTCTGCCTCCCGGGTTCAAGTGATTCTCCTGCCTCAGCCTCCTGAGTAGCTGGGATTACAGGCGTGCGCCACCTGAGCCCGGCCCTTTCCTTCCTTTTTTCCTCCCTCCCTCCCTTCCTTGTTCCCTTCCTTCTTTTCTTCTTTCCTTTCTTTTCTCCTCCGTCCCTTCCTCGCTTCCTTCCTTCTTCCTCCGTCCCTTTCCCCTCCCTCACTCCCTCCCTATGGCATATTCATCCGTCTGTGTCATTCTCTCTGCTTCTTTGGTGTTTGTCTTTCTCTCTGTCTCTAAACCCTGCAAGAAAAAAGAAGTATTTCCATTAACTTCCCGTTCATTTACAAGGCCATTTATGCACATGCTTGGCTTAAAAATCTGTTTTATTTGGCTCCAACTTTCAAATTGTGTCCTTTGAAAGCTACTCATTCTCATTTGAATCCTCTTTGGAGCCACATCTCTTAATGGCTACACAGCAGAACTTTTTAAATTCTTGCCTTTAATGCCTGCCTTATTCTCAGACAGGGTGATATCCTACTCACTACTCTTTGTTGTTCTAATCCACATTACTTATAAAGTGTGTGTGTGTGTGTGTGTGTGTACCAGTCACTGTGCTTGTTTCTAATTACTGGGGAAACAAAATTGAATTAAACACATATACTCAGGGGCCTTTTAAAATCCTTTTTAGGCCTGAGGTACTTTAAGAATTGGAGGGCCCATCATATAGCATATTAAACATAATAAAATGCAATCACAACCCACATTAAATATCCTTTTTGTCACTGAATTTGAAAAAGTTTCATGTTTGCTTTTACAACTATTTGGCTATGGATGATATTTAATTTATGAGTGACTCTTTTGCCATCATTGTCTGTAATTGGGAATTCTTGTGAAGTGTGGAAATCTTACCTACAAATTGCTTTCAAAGTCAATGACATTCTTATGAATACTAAATTTAACAATTAATGAAGTTGACATAATATTCTATTTTTTGGACAATTAAATGTTTATTTCAATTTAATAGTTTCTTTTCATGTTTTGGAGCTGATACACTTTTTTTTTCAGGTCTCAAATATTTTTCTGAATCTTACAAAGTGTGTTGGCTCCAGGAAGACTGGAAACTTAGGGGTAAAGGACCCTGTGTGTCTTCCCTGCCTTGAGGCTTGTTCTGGCTCAAGACAGATAGAAAAATCTAGAAGTACAAGGCAGGATAGACTGAAATGACCCATGCTATGGTAGAAATTAGGGCCAGACAGCATAGGAGAACAGGCACAGGAGAACTTAATTCAGTCTCTAAAGGAGGAAAGAAGGAAATCCCAGAATGGGTGAAACACGACGTAACCAGAAGTCCAAGGGAGCTGGTCAAGAAGAGAGGGCGTGAGAGGGCTTTCCTGCAGAAGGAGGGGCCTGTGCAAAGATCAGGAGCAGAACAGAGCATATTGAACCAAATTGTACTGTGGGGGTGCAGGTGGGGGTCTGTGGCATGGGGTGAACATCTCCCCATTGGGAAGGCAGATCATGAAGGGCCTTGTGCCTCAATAAGAAGTCTTGATTTTATCTTGAGGCCAATGGGGAGCCGCTGAATATTTGGAAGAAATAGGAATGGAGAGGACGGAAAATATCCAAAAGGTATTTAGGAGGTGGGAATGATGGGACTTAGTAACGCTCTGGGTGCCAGGTACCTCTGTGATGTAGATGTCTTGTGGGACTCCCCCACCGCCCTGCCACATTTCCAGAAGAGTTGACTAGAAGGGTGGCAATGCAGGGTACCTTCCCCACATCAGTCCCAGGGGATGGGGGGCAGGGGAGTGGGGGACATGCCCCTGTGCAGGGTTGACACATCTTTAAGCCATTGTCTCAGGCCACTGCTGGTATGCCACACAGACCCGCAGGAAGGTTTTAGGATGGCAGAAGTAAACTTTGAAACGAAGGGGCCAGAAATAAGTCTTTGAGACTGTTTGCAAGCAGCAAAAGACTTTGTATGCAGATCTCAATTTCCCATTTTCAGGCCTAAATGTGTCACTAATATTCTCCGTCAGGCTCTCTGACCAGACCTGCTCCCCACACACTCTGTTGATTCCACACATCCTAGGAGTTCTTGGCCTGCCAGGGGCTCTTTCTTGTTGCCCAGTCATCTGTAAATATACCTAATTCTAAAGGTGAATACATTTAAACGGCTTAAACGTAAAAGGCCGGTTGCCCAGCAACTGGAAATCTGAAATACCCTTGTCAGGCTATGTAAGTGGAGAACTGGCAGGCCACCGCTGTAGTCATTTTGAGTGAACAGTGGCAACAGTAACAATAATAATAATAATTATTATTATTCTCTTTCTTTTTATTTTTCTCTGATTTCTTTCCTTCCTCCCTCCTTCCATTTCCTACCAGAAACCAGCAGCTCAGCCTTAATTTTAAAATATAATAGCTCTATTTAAATTAACATAAGCCCATAACAGTTCTTAATTCTGTTTGTGGAGTAACAAAGCAGCAAGGCCACTTCCCTTTTGCTGACTTCCCCCATTCCTTGAACACCTCCAGAACTGCACAAACGACCTGAACTATGCTAAGCTTCGTGAGAGTAAAACAATCCACCTCTCAAAGCAAGTAACCTAGCTATAGAAATTTCCTGACACGGTTTCCATTTTGAACAGCTCTGCTCTGGTGTCAGCTGGTGACATCTGTTTTTCAGCTTCAGACTCTTACATTTTCACCTTCTATGTTATTGGTCCTTATGGCTCAGGACTGTCATTTCTTCATTGTGCTGTTCTCATGTGGTGGTTTTTCTGCTGTCTAGATGTCAGCTGTCTTAAATAGCCGGAGCTGGAAAGGGTTTGGGGGAAGCCCAAGATTCCTGAGAGATGCTGCACTGAAGAGAGTAAGCATTCAGTATGTAAAAAAAAAAAAAAAAAAAAAAAAAAAATCCTAATTGCTTATCTTAAGTATTTCACTGGGCCGGGCGCAGTGGCTCACACCTGGAATCCCAGCACTTTGGGAGGCTGAGACAGGTGGGTTACTGAAGGTCGGGAGTTCAAGACCAGCCTGACAAACATGGTGAAACCCCACCTTTACTAAAAATGCAAAAATTAGTCGGGCATGGTGGCGGCGCCTGTAATCCCAGCTACTCGGGAGGCTGAGGCAGGAGAATCTCTTGCATCTGGGAAGTAGAGGTTGCAGTGAGCTGGGATTGCACCACGGTATGCCAGCCTGGGCAACGGAGTGAGACTCCATCTCAAAAAAATAAAAATAAAAATAATAAAACATTTCATTGCACGTGAGTTCACATTGTTTCACTCCTCTTACCTTTTCCCTGCCGTTCTTCGCTGACGTGTAAGGGCATCCTGCAACAAAATTGACCCACTTCAGCCCGCTGCAGTGCTGCAAGAGCAGATACTTTGCTTCTAGAGGAAACTCTGTCCCGGAGCCCAGAGCCTGCTTCCTCAAGGATTTTGGATCTTTCTCCTGTTCTAATACTTTTTTTCAGGCAAATAATGTGGGAAAGAGCAGAGCAAGAAACATATCTGACCTGAGAGCAAAATTATTCACTAGAATGTATTTCAAAGTTTTCTGAATTAAATCAATAGCTTTCTCTTTCTTCAAGATTGTTATCTCTTAGTGCTTTATAATATGTCTAAACCTAGTGAAATGTAATAAAGTATAACAGGGTGGGATGTGTTGAATGAGTCTTCGTGGAGCATGTCACGGTCCCCTTCCCATCTCATTTTGGTGATGTGTCTAGATTGCTGTACCGCGTGGGCTCCATTGAGGTAGTGCTTAGGGCAGGAGCTCTGGAAGGAGATTGCTTGAGACTTGGCCATGAACAGCCAAACAGAAGTGATCTGGCCTTGAGGTGTCAGGAGCTTTCATGAGAACTCCTGAAGCTTGAGGGAATCAGTTAATGCTTTCCTCCTGGCAGTGCTAATTTTACCAGGGAGATCTAGGGGCAAAGGAGCTAGTAGCGTGGGATACAAGTGAGCCAGCCGGCAGGTCTGCACCACAGTTGCAAACATCCCTAAGTGAAATCAGCTGATAGATTGATGGGGGCGGGTGCACAGCATCTGTCTGCAATTTTCCTGATGCGATTACACACTTCTCCCAAGTGACTGCCGTTTCTGTGTGTAGTAAATTTCTCAAACCCAACCCAAATACTTTATTATTATACTGTATATATTACGTATCATTATAGCACAGATGTATTATTTTTTATTCCCAGCATATTATAATATAACAATTTCCAGAGAAATCTGTAGTTTGATGCAGATGAGGGAATGCAGATGGATTGGCTCATCTTTATTCAGAGTCTAAAATTGTTATCTCAGCCTCGATTACACCACTTCCTCTTGGTTATCTGAAAATTGCCCAGGAATAGATTTGCTGATTTTCTTTTCATTTATTCCCATTATGTGAGCTCACTTTCTTATAGTTTAGAGACAGAGGGTACAAAATAAGAAGGCGAGATTACCCTTTGCAAAGAAATACGAGTTGGTAATATTTTGAAATTGGATAGTTTTGTGAGAAAGAAGGCAGCAAAACAGAATGTTTTGAGGGGAAAAAACCTTATTCTGTTATTCATTTTCTCAGTGTCTCAGCTCTGTTCCATTGGGGTATAGTAAACTTTTACTATTCAGCGTGGTGAGGGGCTTTAGTTAGCAAGCTGGCAGAGGGTCTAGGGCTGCATCTTTCAATCCGGCAGCCACGAGCCTCCTGAGGCTATTGAGTAATTAAAAGTGATTAGTCCAAATTGCTCTGTGCTGCAAGTATAAAGTATACTCCCAAAAGTCTGATAACTTAGCACCAAAAAGTCTCACTCAATATCTATGTCTCATTCATCATTTTTTCATATGATAACATATTGAAATAGTCATTTTTACTATCTATTGGGTTAAAATATATTATTAAAATTAATTTCACCTTACATTGCTTTTTAAAAATGTGGCTACTAGAAAAAATAAAATTACTCGTGCGCCTTGTATTATATCTCTGTTGAACAGGGAGAGCTTTGCTCCTTAAAAGTCTGATTCCTTAATTTTGGCACCATCTGGGGGCTTGGTAGAAATGCAGAGTCTCAGGCATCACCTCAGACTCATTGGAGCAGAATCTGCATTTCAGCAAGATCTCCAGAGGATTCACACACACTTTGAAGTTTGAGAAACACTTTTCTAGTAGAGGAAAATTTCTGAAAGGCTTAAATTATTTTACTTCCCATAAATACCTATTGGTTTCCCATGGGGAAAGTGGGAGTTCTTTGAGGACAGAAACTTTGTCTGACACTCCTTGACATCCTCAGGGTTTGGTATAGTCTTTGACACACAGAAGATGATATCCAATAAATGTTGAATACATGAATGGGCACATAGTCCTGTCTGCCACTTCATGGATGAAGACTCTCAATGGTCACATAAAGTGAAGGGTTCTGATGGGCGACCACTATCCAGTCCAAATAATTTAAAGTGATGTGTGCATCCTTTGGGTATTTGAAGCACAGAACTGTTTTATTTTCATATGTTAGGATCCTAACTGGTTTTCCTATCTGACTTTTAAAAATTACCTTGTTTGTTTTATTCTCCTCCTCCTCCCCCTCCCCTCCTCCTCTCCTCTCCCCCTCCCCCATCCCCCCTCCTCCCCTCTCCCTCTCATCCTCCTCCTCTCTCCCCATCCCCCCTCCTCCCCTCTCCCTCTCATCCTCCTCCTCTCTCCCCCTCCCCCTCCTCCCTCTCTCCCCTCCCCCTCCTCCCCCTCCTCCCCCTCCTCCTCCTCCCCTCTCCCCCTCCTCCCCTCTCCCCCTCCTCCCCTCTCCCCCTCCTCCCCTCTCCCCCTCCTCCCCCTCCCTCTTCCTCCCTCTTCCTCCTCCACCCTCCCCTCCCTCCTCCCCCTTCCTCCTCCCTCCCTCCTCCCCCTCCTCCTCCCTCCTCCCTCCTCCTCCTCCTCCTCCTTCTTTGTAAAGTGAAAGCAAGTTTATTAAGAGAGTAAAGGAATAAAGAATGGCTACTCTGTAGGCAGAGCAGCCCCAGGCCAGCTGGTTGCCCATTTTCAAGATTATTTTTTGATTTTATGCTAGACGAGGGGTGGATTATTTGTGAGTTTTCTGGGAGAGGGGTTGGCTTTGACTGTGGTATGGAAAATTATATGGAATGGAGCAAAATTACAAATGAGATCGTGGTATTTGGCACGTGGTACCCTTTTCCTCACATACTCTTTGCCATCCCCACTTAAATTCATTTCATTTCTTTAACTGGCCAAGTTTCCTCAATCCAGAGAAGTCTCTGCTTATCTGTCACCTCCTCAAAGAGCCTTCTTTTCTAAAATGATGATTCCACTCCTCCTCTTTCAATCCCCATTACCTCCCTCTGCTTTAAGTAAATACCCACTAATGCCCAGGACCTCAAGCCTGGGACCTTCATAGTACTTACATGATGTTATTGTCTCCCTTCTCCACTTCCCAGCCCTTATTTGGCTGGGACTTTAACTCTTTCACCACAGTCCCTATTATAGTGCCTGTTGCATCACAAGACCTCAATAAATAAATATTCTTTGAATGAATGAATGAATGAATAAAAAATGAGTGATTATGTTGTTTATGTTGTGACATAACTGGGCATGGAGGAGTTAATGACAGGAGCTAATTACAGTTAATTGCACCTATCTACTCAGCAAATATTTTCTGAATAATTCCCGTGTAGACAACAGAGAAATAAGGTATGGAAAGCAGAAAGGGGGATGGAAGAGACCAAATATGAAAATGGATTCTAGGGTCACATGGTGAGTTGTACACAGTTGCATAGATGATGTTACATCTATGTAACAGGCGAAAGGGAGTTACTCTTTCGCCTGGGGCATCAAGAAAAGCTTCAGGTGGAAGGACAATGAGAATTTGCTAGGTAGAAGAAGTGAGGATGAACAGGAAAGGACACAGTGTGTTTTGGGAATAGTAAAAATCAGAGGATGGGTATTTGGTTCAGGAGTGACAGGAAAGGAGACCAATTGGCTGGGCCAGCTGGAGTGGGGTACACTTTCAATGAGGAGACTAAGGACTGTGGGTTCTACTACAGTGTGTTACCTGGAAGATGATACCATCAGACTTAGGTTTTCGTTTTCACACCTTATATGCTGCTGTGTGGCTGGACCAGATGTTAAGGAAGAGGTTGTAGTAACGCAGTGAAGAAGAAAGGGGGATATATGTTTGAGAGAGAAGGAAAGAGAGAGGGTGGGGCTTGAAGGTCCTGAACATTAGTAGGAAAATATGTGTATTACTTACAATTTGTGAAGAAGCTGAAAAGATTTAAGAAAAAGATTTGTAGGCTGCCAATAGAATGATCATTATCCTTCAATCAGTTTCCAAAACTTATCAGCTACAAAGGGCCTGTGGTCAGCCTTGGCTTCCATGCCTTCCTCCCTGCTGTCCCCAAGAATCCCCAGTGCGGTGAGTAGGACCATCAGAATCTCTGTTCCCCGCTCTGCCAATGTATGAATCCCCACTCCTTTTTGGTGAAAACTAAGCAAATCCATCACTGAAAGATGTCAGAGCTTCTTGGGCTCCTTGTCATCTGGAGGTAATGGAGGTCACATGTCAGGTTTTGGGGAAAAGGCAGAGTGCAAAGTTCTGGGAGGGACAGGGTCTGGGGCTACTTCCTGTCACTGGAAGGCGGGTAGGGCTGAAGAAGAACAATTTCTGGTGAAGGCAAATGGTTTGGAAATGATAATCTGGTCAGTTTATTATTCCAGTGGTATATGGGTCAGAAAGATCACAGCTTAAGAGTTTGTAAAAGATGGCTTGGGTGCAGACAAACCCTGCTCATCTGGGAAGGAATTGTGTCCCAGCAAGAGAAAGCCAGCTCACACTTCGTTGTTCTGAAGCTGATTATTAGCCGTGATTACCTGCACTTTCTATTTTCTTCTGCTACCACCCAACTTTGGACCACTTTTCTGCTTATTAGCACTAGCATCTGAATATTGGAAAAGAGGAAAAGAGAGATGAAGGAGCTCCATGTAATTTTGCTTCCTGTTAGCAGCTCTATTAAAAGAATACTGAAGGAACCAATAGAATTAAAGCAGATTGAAACCATTGGGTAAAAAGTTTGATTTTCATCTACCCTGTTTCACATTGCCATTGATAATCATTAAATTTAGTGCAGCAAAGACTTAGGAGAGCCTTGCTTTATGGGTAGAGAACAGATTTCAAAAGATTTTAATTTTCCCAAATCCATTCAATCAGTGAGAGGCAGAACGAGATCTCAAACCAAAGTCTTCCAATTCATACTTTACATGGTACTTCTTCCCTCACTATATCATATTTTGTCTCAATAAGATTCATTTTGGCCTTCCTCTTAAATCTATACAGGCAAAATAATACATAATGAAATGAAAAGAATATTGGATTTTGATTCAGAACACCTAAGTTTTTCGCTTGCTTTCCCTCTTTTCTTGCCTTATAAGCAAGATAGTGATAATTCCTGCCTTGCCTACTTCACAGATTTACTCTCAATACCAAAGGAATAATACAGGTGAAAACGCCTTCTCTGCTGCAAGGTGCTATAAAAATGCCATGAATGTGTTTACATACAATCCCACACATTTGAACAGAGCTAGTCAGAATTATTTGTTACTATGTCATATATCTACCAGTTGTAATAACATGGCATGAATTTAAAGGATTCTTTTTATTTTGCAGTATTGAGAAAATTTTGAGAAATTAGAAATGTATCGGTAATAACTGATATAGCTTTTGAAGAGAAGAAAATACTTTATTATTTGCAGGGGTTAGGATTATTTTCCTGGAAACTTTAAGAGAATCAACAGAAAACATTAAAAAAATAAGGAGTATAAGAAAGTTCAATAATCTGGAAATTTCGATAAAAGTTTTTTTCCTTGTCTTGGAAAACATGTAGAAAGAACACATACAACAGAAAACAAAAACACACATTTCTATTTCTGAAAATGAGAAGACAAGTTTCCAGGTACCTAAAGACTGTTAAAAGCTGTCAAGTTCTTGCACAATCTTGGTGGAAGAAACATGGAGAGATGTGGAAAATGGAGAGGTTATGAGCAAGGGTGATACGATTTTATGCCCAGCAAAAATATTTTTCAAAACTGAGGATAAAATGAGTTCACTTTCGGACAAATCAGAAGTGCATATGTTCACTGCCAGCAGATTCATATCAGAAGAAACACTAAAAGGTGAGTTTCAGGCAGGAGAAAAATGAAACCTGATGAAAGTTTGTAGATGCAGCAAGGAGTGAGGAGTAATTAAAAGAGTAAATATGTGGTTTAAATCAATATTGACTTTATTACACAATAAATGTAAATGTCTTATGGATTTTAGGATATGTAGTGGAAACTAAAATATAGTAGATTATATTATACTATAATAAATCAAAGAAGTACCTTGTAATCTCTGAGGTAACTGCTGAAAAAGAATAGAAGGATGTATAACTTAAGCTAATAGAGGAGAAAAAAGAAACAATGGGAAAAAAACAATCAATCCAAATGAAGGTCAGATGGGAAAAAGAATTGATTGTACATTAGGACAAATGGAGAGCAAATATTAAATTGATAGCTATATGCCAATATAAATCATTAATTATATCAAATGGAAATTTTGACTAAATGCTTCAATTAAGATAAAACAGTGCTAGACTAAATAAAATACAATATACAACCATATGGTGCTTCAAAAGAGAAATACTTGTAAAGCTATGGAAACACTGAAAGTGATGAAAAAATATATATTTTAAATACTAACCAAAAGAAAGCCAGCAAAGCTATATTTATACACACAAAGGAGACATTAAGGCAATGCCTTAGGAGAACTGGAGAGATATAATGATAAAAAGTTCAGTTAAGCAGGGAAATATAATAATTCTAAATCTGTATGCAGTTAATAACATAGCCTAAAAATAAAGAATTGACAACATAATATGGAATAGACAAATTCACAATCATCTTTGGAGATTTTAACATACCACTCTCAATAATTCATGGAACAAGCAGATATAATATTGGTAAGAATATAGACAATATGAGAAATATGACTAACAAACTTGACCTAATTGGTGTATATGGGACATTGTACCCAACAACATTCTTTGATCCTAACACCTTTATTCATAATGGCCCTAAACTGGAAAGAACTCAAATGTCTATCAAGAGGTAAGAGAATAAACAAATTGTGGCATATTCATTGCTATGTGGTACCTTGGAATACGACTCAGTGATTAAAAGAAATTACTGATGCATCCAACAACATAGATAGCTCCCAAAAGTATTATGCTAAGTTAAAGAAGCCAGGCAGAAAAGTTATATACTGTATGATTTTTTTTTTTTTTTTTTTTTTTTTTGAGACAGAGTTTTGCTCTTGTCACCCAGCCTGGAGTGCAGTGGTGTGATCTTGGCTCACTGCAAACTCCGCCTATTGAGTTCTAGCGATTCTCCTGCCTCAGCCTCCCAAGGAGCTGGGATTACAGGCGCCTACCACCATGCCCAGCAAATTTTTGTATTTTTAGTAGGGATGGGGTTTTGCCATGTTGGCCAGGCTAGTCTTGAAATCCTGACCTCAGGTGATCTGCCTGCCTTGGCCTCCCACAGTGCTGGTATTACAGGCGTGAGCCACCGTTACTCACACTGTATGATTTAATTATGAAATTCCAGAAAACGAAGCACTATGGTGATAAAAAAAAAAAAAAAGGCAAATCGGTGGTTGCCAGAGGCTAGGGGTGGGGTGAAAGGATTGCCTGCAAAGTGAAATGAGGAGAATATCGGAGATGACAATAATAATTTTATCATGATCATTTGATTTTACAACACTGTATACATGTGTCAAAATTTATTGACTTGTAACATAAAATTGGTAAAATTTATGTCTGTAAATTATATCACAATAAAACTAATAAAAAAGATAGAAACATCTTTTAATATTGATATGGAAATATCTTCAAGATACATTGGTAAATGAAAAATGCACAATGCATAAAATGTGCATAGTATGTACCTTTTTTGGAAAACGTAGCATGTGTCTTATATACAAATTTTTCTCATTTTATTTTTTTTCTCAGAATCTTTCCACTTCCTTTTCCACTCCTGTTTCCTGTCTCCTTCCTTCCTCTCCTGTTTTCCTTCTATCAGGTTGTGTACACTCTCTTCTAGGATTGCTGGACTTCATGTTAGCTGCATGATTCCACCTTGAAATCAAACCTGCTCTCCTGGCCATTTCTTCTACCCCTTAATCCCACTATCTAATTCTTCAGCTCCAAGAAGCCCCGTCTGATCATACCTTTGTATAATGTTGTTGTTGGTTTTTTTTTTTTTTTTTTTTTTTTTGTGGTGCTTCCATAGCATACAAGATTGTTCCCAAACCCTTAGTATGCCCCAGAAAGGGCTGCAGAAGCAGGCAGGAACTTAGTTTTTGTACCTTCATTTCTTCTCTTGCCTTCCAAACGGCCTGTGCTTTAGTCACATTAAACCATTTCATTTTTCCTTGGGTATTATGTACTTTATGACCTCAGACGTTTGCAAATACGTCTACTTAGGCCATTTCTACTACCTTTCTTTTTTCTTTTCTTTACTTGGCAAACAATTAAACTGGACAGACCAGATCAAATGTTACCTTTTCTGTGAAAATTCATTTTTTTTACTCTTCTTCTCCTGTGGTGCCTTAGTATTTGAAAATACTTTGCCTTTGTGAAATTGACATATGATTGTTATTCTCTAAAAAAGTAAACATTCCAGATAGGGATAAAGATGACCTAAAAATCACGTAGATTACCTCTACTTGCAGCTGTCTGTATGTATAGATACCTTTGTATAAATTTTACAGCCACATACAAATGGGATCTTTCTGTGATGCACTCTGTCGTCTATTTTTTTTTCACTCACTGTTATATCACAGGTACCTTTTTCTGTTGACAGAAAAAGACTTATGTATTATTTTTAATGGCTGCATAGCATTCTGTTTTGCATATTATTTCCTGAACTAGTTTCCTATGAATGTGTGTTTAAGTCATTTACAGTTGTTTGCGTTAGTATAAATGATGTCACAATGAATACTCCACTGTGTTTGAAAATATCCTGATGAATGTCCCTGATGGCATTGGATTGTAATTATCTGTGTGCCTTTCTTTCCTACCAGACTGTTATTAGTTTCCTGAGAGCAAAAAACCATTATTTATCTTGTAATCTACAGAACCCTGCAGAGTGCCAGTAGAAGCTTAATATATATTGTTGAAAGAAAGAAGGAATAAATGAATGGATGTTTATATAGTTGGGTACACATGTTTATCATCACACATGTCTTCAGTTTTTACTCAACTTTTCATTGGCCTAAAGGCCTGATATCTCTTAGGCATTATTCAATCCCCTACTTGTTCCTAATCTCTTTTTACAGATGTCATTACCACTATAAATTCAATATATAGCTTTAAGAATAAAAATCTGTCCAAACCATGACTCCCCCGTAGACTATGGTGGTCACTGAAACATATTTTATTAATTGCAGAAAAAAATAAATGCAAATATCTGGCACTTTTTGCCTGACCCTAAGCAGACACGAGTTACTAAGACTGAGATTGTCAATTGCAAGAAAAAACCACATGGTATGTGTGGTGCATACTATTTACAGCTGTTGTCCATTATGAGTTCTCTGGAGTACCATTTGCTGCTACAATTGAATGGTCTTGTAAGTTTAACTTACCAACATGACTGCAAAATTGTCTTAAATCACAGAGGGGAAGAGAGGAAAGCCAACTAGAACTGGCTAAAATACTGCTTATGTCTTCATGAGAATCCATCGTTGTCCCCATTTGCTTCTTCAGGATACTAGAACAGCCTGCAAGGTCTTGTGGTGTATTACAATACAGCAGATTATCAACTTGACTCTCCAATGGAAAGAGACACATTGTTGATGTCTCTCTGTTAGAGCTTGCATTTGGCTTATTGATTAATGTACTGCGTTGTACTAGGTATATCAGGCAATGGAAGCCAACTGGCCCAGACAATGGAAGTGTTTTGTTAGTGTCAAAAATTTACAAGAGCTTAAGCCATTTTTTATTTCTTCTTGCTGGGCTGAAAGCACTTACTATTGTTGTCCAATATGCTGCAAATGAACATAGTTCAAAAATCACAAAGAGAGTGATGTGGAATTATAGAACCGAAAATAGGATACTGGTTGGGTACAAATTCATCAAGCCTCTTTATTTCGAAACAAGCTTTTTATTGGCGTGCCAACACAGCTTGCTTTGGAAAAAGCGAAACCAACTGTGAGCAAATGATATAGTAGGAAAGTTGACCTCCCGTTAATTTCAGTTGTGCCTAGCTAGCTAACTGTACATCTCCTTCTTTCCAACATTTTTTTTTAGAAAGTTTCAGTTAGTGAGTCATTAGTCCTATGGTGCAGAACACCTAATCTGCTATGGACTGAATATGTATGTCCTCCCAAAATTATATGTTGAAATCCTAATTCCCAAAGTGATGGTGTCAGAAGGTGGAACCTTTGGAAGTTGATTAGGTCATGAGGGTAGTGCCCTCATAAATGGGATTAGTACTTTAAGAAAAGAGGCTTGCGGGAACTCAGTTGTCCCTTCCACATGTGAAGACACAGTAAAAAGAAAGTCATCTAAGAAACAGAAGGCGGGGCCTCACCAGGCACAGAATTTGCTGGCACCGTAATCATAGATTTCTTGGTCTCCAGAACTGTAAAAAAGAAATTTCAGTTGTTTATAAGCCACACAGTCTATGGTATTCTGCTATGGAAGCCCAGAAAAAGTAAGACAAATCCATTGCCCAGTTTTTTCAGAAACTTACATAACTCATCTCATGTTAAAAATGGTGAGGCTGGAATTTGAACCCTGGAAATACGGCTCCTAAAGTTGTTCTCTAATTCACTATGCTGTACTGTCCCTGATTGGGTAAACATGTCATCTATAATAATTTCAGAATTCGTTTTATAAAGCACAGCCTTTGGCATATATTTCTTCTGATGAAAATGCATCATCTCCCTTTTTCTTAAGATAGCGGTTCTCAATTGTTCTTTTCTAAAACACACATGTCAAATATCATTCTCCCTACAACTATTTCACTCTTTTCTCCACAATCTAGAAAGCACACACGAATGCATGTCATTCAAGGTAATATTATTATAAGGATGACTTTAAACCTGATCTTACATTGAGTTTAACAGGGTGTAGCAAAAACATGAGTACAGTGGCCTAACCAAATAGTGGTTTACTGTTCTCAAACATCCAGAAGTAACGAAGAAGCTGGTGAAAATGTGGTATAGCTGCTTAAGGAATTTGCCAAGAACCCTGGCTCCCTCTACTTTTATAGTCACCATCTTTAGCATGTGACTTTGATTCTCAAGTTGGCTTTCTCATCTGAAGGTATCACATCTATGTGCAAAACTGGAGGAAGAAGAAGGGCGAAGGACAAGACACAAAAACCAAGTAGGCATTTACCAGATGAAACTGTCCCCTTTAATTAGTTTTCCAGAAGGACTCACACTCTAGTAACACTTAAATGTCACTGGACACAACTGTGTCACATGGCCACTCCTACCTACAAAAGGATCCATGAAGCTAGTATTTTAATATGGACAAATTCCTTCCCCTTCAAAAATCAGGGTCCTGGTAATAAGAAAGAAAGGGAGAAAGGCTACTGGGCAGGTGACCGGCAGTTTGTGCCATGTATGTAATATCATAAGCACTTGCACTTTTATTGGTAACTGATGACTCTGCAATATACTCTGTTACTTATCACAGGATATCAGTGAGACACTGACTCTATGGTTGAGAATGTCTGATCTACAGGATGAAGTCCAAATCCCTAAACAAAATATATAAGAAAGGATCTTACCAGTTTAATATTAGCCTACTTTTTAAAATTTATGTTCCATCATCTCTAGCCCTTTGCTTGAGCCACACATAACTTGTCTTCATTTTTTAATTCATCGACTTTTGCGCCACTGGTTTTGGCATATGTCCCTTTCTTTGTTCAGAAGACCCTCCTCACCGTCTCCATCTGGTAAATAATACTTATTTTGCAAGCTCCAATGTGAATACCATCACATCTTTGGAAATGGCCTTACCTCTCTCAGTCATATCTATTTTGGTGTTTTGTATACACCTCCATTAGCTCACTTGTAATTATTTTCTTTCATATTTGTCACTACTGACAAATGCTATGGCCTCTTAGAGAACAAGGACTATAATTTATTCAACTTTTTCTACCCAGTGCTCCTGCAGTTCTTGGAATATGCTCAAGACACCTGCTTAAGGGAAAATATAGCTGAGTGTTACCTCCAGTGTATAGGTGACCTACAAGGAGCTGAAGTAACCTGTTTTCACCGTAGTCAGTAAAAATGCACTGATCTACACCCCTTAAATCTAGACCTCAGTGGATTAATGGCTGTCAGCAGAAATACGGAAGAGACAGATAGTCTTTAGGTTTTATTTTTTTTTTGGTCTTAGTGATGATAATAACATAATTCAGTAATTTTAAAGTGTTTTCTTTATATCTTCCATTGCCTATTCTTTAGCTCTGTTATCAAAAGATATTCAATTTTTTCTTTCTTTGTGCACAATTTGAAACACAGTTTGTATCTTCAAAAAGGCTACGGCTTTTTAGATTCTGTATGAGTAAGATCGTATCATGTTTGTCTTTCCGTGTGTGTCTTATTTCACTTAACACAATGTCCTCCAGACTCATCCATGTTGCTGAAAATGACAGAATTCCATTTTTTTATGGTTGAATAGTATTCTATTGTATCTATGTGTGTGTGTATATATAAAATCATATATTCATATATATGTGTATATATATATATATAAAATCATATATTCATATATATGTGTATATATATAAAATCATATACGTGTGTGTGTATATATATGTGTGTGTGTGTGTGTGTATATATATATATATATATACACACACACGTCAGTAAATGAATCAAAACACATTTTCCACCTGAGCCCAGACATGGCTTTAAAATGCATTTCAGCACTATGATACTCCAGCTATCTTCTATAAACAAAGGAGGGAAGACATTCCTATCTTTCCCTCATCAGCACATTCTCCATAAAGACTGTTCATGTCAATACACTACCTGTAACTGGGCAGAGAGTGTTTTCCTGACTCCCTTTGCAAAGTGAAGCAAGCATTGTAACTCCAAGATTGAGCTTCCAGATATTTAACTCTTTTGTCAAATCTCTCTCAAGGACTGGGTTCAGGGTCTTACAGTCATGGAATTCCAAAGATACTGCTTCTGTTACTTGCCTTCTATTTCTGCTAAGGAATGAGAGGGACCATCCCACCCACAGACTTTACGAATGAGGAGGGAAAGAGCTAACACATACTGAATGGCAGGCAATATAGTGAGTGCTTTATATTTACTTCTTTTTGTTTTTTATAACAACCACATAAAGTCAGTATTATTGTCCCCATTTTATAGATAGGAGATAGTGTGAAAGAAATTAATTCATTTGCCTGAGATCCCAGAGGTAGTGAGAGATGAAGATAATCAATCTCAGATTTGTGACATCTAGCATCATGCTATTGAACTCTGGAGAATTAGTTATTTCTTTTGTGATCTTGATAAAATCTGCTTCTTGGGTTCTTTTCATACCATCAAATAGTTACATTTTTGATGACAGCCTTGAGCTGTACCTTCATACTTTCTTGAGTCTTGCAGACCACAGAGGAAGATAGAAAATGGGTAAATGTAGATCAGATATGTGTTAGGAGCAATCCATCTATTTAAAACCTCATGCCAATCATGTGAAAATCAGTTTGTATCTTCAAAAAGGCTACGGTTTTTTAGATTCTGTATGAGTAAGATCGTATCCCATGAGAAAAAGAGAATACAAGATAAACTGAAAACATTGAAGGAAACAAAATTCAAAACCTACAATGGAAAATGTATTTTTAATAAAAATTAGTATCAAAGAAGCAAAAAAGAAGTTTAGAAAACTATAAAATAGAGCAATATTAAAATTTGGGTTTAATTTTCTTATGTCCCTTTTTCTGCAGGACATCGTCCATATCAGGTGATCACTGCTCGAGTTCATCCAGGAGAGAGCAATGCCAGTTGGGTGATGAAGGGTACCTTGGAGTTCCTGGTCAGCAGTGACCCTGTGGCTAGGCTCTTGAGGGAAAACTTCATCTTCAAGATCATACCCATGCTCAACCCAGATGGTGTCATCAACGGCAAGTATGTCAGGCACCTGGCTCAGCCAAACCCACAATTATGCTACCACAGTGACACTGTCATTTCACCAAGTAGGCGTGATTGGAGAGGCCTCGGTACTCTGTCGAGAATAAACTCTTGGTTTTCTGTTTTCTGCTACAAATAACAACATACTTTCCATACACACTGATGTCAGTCTCATGGTTTCTTTGAATAGAAAGGTATAGAATTGACGCCTAGGCAGGAGGATCACTTGAGACTTGGACCAGTCTGGGCAACACAGTGAGACCCCACCTCTACAAAACAAATTAATTAAAAAATAGGAAGCTATAGAATCACAGGCAATTAATAGCAGAGGAAGAATCTAGTTTAACATTTTTCTTTTAAAAAGGAGGAAACTGGTGTCCAGGGTAATCAAATGACTTGTCCAAATCACATGGTGGGTTAATGATAAAGTCAGGGCCCAAACTGTGATTTCTTCAGAGTAAGACCAATGCTTTTATTTACTTATTAATATTTACTACAGGGAAATCTTTATTCTCAATTAGCTCTGATAGGACACAGCTATAAGAATGGTGTCCCTCTAGCTAAATAAAATGTCAGCTGAAAAACAGAAGTTGAGGTTGTTCTTCTCTTTACCTAGCCCTTACAGAACTCTTCGAAATATATGATGGGAAAGATGGCTCCTGTGCCTGGTGAGCTCTGTTGAAATGGACCACATTCTCAGAGTTTGTGAGCTGAGGCCCAGACATCAGATGAGGCACCCAAAGTCACACAGGTGGTGCATGAGGGTGACAGGATTAACATCCACAAAGAGGTCTTTCAAACTTTGTGGGCAAAGGATAAAGCCGCCCCTTGCCATGGTAATAGATGAATAGGAATGGACATTCTATCCCATGAGAAAAAGAGAATACAAGATAAACTGAAAACATTGAAGGAAAAAAAATTCAAAACCTACAATGGAAAATGTATTTTTAATAAAAATTAGTATCAAAGAAGCAAAAAAGAAGTTTAGAAAACTATAAAATAGAGCAATATTAAAATTGTTAAATGAAAGAGACAAAATGAGAATTATAAAGAAATGCTAAAAGCACAAAAACTTCAAAGAAATAAAATGAAAATGACTTAAAATAAATAAGAATGATGTAAGAAAGATGAAATAATTCAATTTTTAAGAAACAATTTAAGTGTTAAACAGCCAAGAATAGACTAGTTTCAAAAGATAAGCACCGAAGATAGATAAGTTGAAAAGGTTAAAAGTATGAAGATGATAAATTACAAAAAGATGAAAAGCATAAATTCCAAATGATGAAATATGTTAAACCAGGTTAAAGGAAAGCAAATAAAAGCTACAGACCATAAAAATAAAATTTCAGTACACACACACACATACAGAAAGGAAAGACACCCATGTACCCATGTGTTCCTTACAGGTGAGCTCCTCCCAGCTTAGCTGTTGCCAGACTTCATTTTATTTACTTTTTTATAGAGATTATTTGAGGGCAGAGAATGTTGGGCAGAGAGCAGGGTTTCTTCTCTTTCTCTGTGGTGACTGATTGGCCTTTAAGCACATGGGAAAACTGGGAGGCCAAGTTCTTCACTAAGAAACTCGATCAGACCTTGGAAAGAAATTAGCCTTCTGAGCTCTCAAGCTGGAAAGGCCCCAAAGCAGTGTTCGCTCCTGGTCAAACAGAACTCAGCCGACTCTTGCTATGTGTTCCTTTAATGGCAGAGAACAGCTCTGGGACATCAGTGAATGGCTCCTCCCTGCTTGAGCAGCCAAAGATTTTACTAGCAAACTTTCTCAGCCTAAATGGATGGAAAACAGTTATGCAAGGCATCTTGAGGGACATGATCCCATTTTGACATTTTCTCATCCAAGTTGGCTCTTTTCTGAAATCTCTCCTTCGCTGGAATTGTCTGAGGTCCAGTAGAGAATGGAAAGAGCCCTGGATCTAGAGTCATATGATTCGTTGGGAATTCTGGCTTTTCTCCTGCCCTAGTCAGTTTTCTCTTCTGTTGGAAGAGGAAGACAACATGCTCCCTGTTGACCATTCTGGAAAAGGTCTCAGAAACCCAAGGCAATATTCAAGCTCAGGGATTAAGTACTGTAGTTTCTTCAATTTTAAATGCTTACACCACCAAACCAGGGGATTTATCCAGATCTTTGGTTTAAAGGTTAATGTGATCTCAGTCACTGAGTATCCTCCTGGCCTGGACACACATTATTTCCAGCTCACAGCTGGTTGCTTTGGATTCCCAAATGGCAGGCCAGCTTCTCCTTAGTGACACTGGCATTTATCATCATTACCATTATTTATTATGATATGACTAAAATTACCTTTTCATTTATATAGCATCTTTCATCATGGAGCTCAAGGCACTTTGTAGATCACTTGGATTACCCAAACAATTTTGGCTGAAAGGGACTTGGAAATCATAGTGTTATTCTACTGAAGGAAAAATCTACAGGTCGTAGCACATCATTATGAAAAAACTTGAGACTGCCTGAATGGATAATGCCTCATCATAAAAGAGCTTAAAAGTCTCAGTGCCTGACCCTTCCTTAGAACATACGTAACACATGGTTTATCTAATTTCTGCTTGAACTAGTTCTGTAATTGACATTTTATTTCAGGGCATGCCCACTCTGTTGTGTATCATCAGGTGGATTTGTGTTTTACTGTGTTTTGATCTTTGTCCTGTGAGCTTCACCCATTTTAATCATTCCTCCCTTAGGATATCCCATGGATAAAATCTAATCCCCCTCATCCGTGCCTGAATTTTCCCATGTGAAGTTCTCTCCAACCTTGATGCAGTTCACCTAAATCTTGTGTATATGGTATTTTTTTCGATGTTCTCATCTTCACTGGTTTTCTCTGGGTATATTCTTATTAATAGGCTCCTTTTTGTGACGCTGTGGTCTTTTGTCCTTTGTAATGTATTTTAACAGTTTTGGGGGAACAGGTTTTTTTTTTTTGGCTACGTGGATAAGTTATTTTAGTGGTAATTTCTGGGATTTTGGTGCACCCATCCCCCGAGCAGTGTACATTGTACCCAATGTGTAGTCTTTTATCCCTCACCCCCCAACTCTTCCCCCACAAGTCCCCAAAGTCCAGTATATCATTCTCATGTCTTTGCATCCTCATAGCTTAGCTCCCACTTACAAATGATAACATATGATATTTGATTTTCCATTCCTGAGTTACTTCACTTAGAATAACAGTCTCCAACTCCATCCAAGTTGCTGCAAAGGCCATTATTTCATTCCATTTTATGCCATGCTGATATATATATATATATGTATTTCTATATATCTCACATTTTCTTTATCCACTCATAGGTTGATGGCACTTAGGTTGGTTCCATATCTCTGCAATTGCGAATTGTGCTGCTGTAAACATGTGTGTTCAAGTGACTTTCATATAATGACTTTTCCTTTGGGTAGATCCCCAGTAGTGGGATTACTGGATTGAATGGTAGTTCTACTTTTAGTTCTTTAAGGAATCTCCATACTGTTCTTCATAGTGATTGTACGAGCTTACATTCCCACCAGCAGTGTAAAAGTGGTCTCTTTGCACATCTACGCTAACATCTATTACATTTTGATTTTTTAATTATGACAATTGTTGCAGAAGTAAGGTGGTATCTCATTGTGGTTTTAATTTGCATTTCCTTTATAATTAGTGAAGTTGAGCATTTTTTTCATATGTTTGTTGGCTACTTGTATATCTTTTGAGAACTGTCTATTCGTGTCCTTTGACCAGTTTTTGATGGGATTTTTTTTTCTTGCTAATTTGTTTGAATTCCTTGTAGATTTTAGATATTAGTCCTTCGTTGCATGCATAGTTTGCAAAGATTTTTCTCCCACTCTGTGGGTTGTCTGTTTACTCTGCTGATTATTTCTTTTGCTGTGCAGGAGCTTTTTAGTTTAATTAGGTCTCTTTTTTTGTTGTTGTTGTTGCATTTGCTTTTGGATTCTTAGTCCTGAATTCTTTGCCTAAGCCAATGCCTAGAAGAGTTGTTACAATGTTATCTTCTGGAATTTTTATGGCTTCAGGTCTTAGATTTAAGTCTTTGATCCATCTTGAGTTGATTTTTATATAAGGTGAAAGATGAGGATCTAGTTTCCTTCTTCTACATGTGGCTTGCCAGTTATCCCAGCACCATTTATTGAATAGCATGTCCTTTTCCCACTTTATGTTTTGTATGCTTTGTCAAAGATCACTTGGCTGTTAAGTATTGGCTTTATTTCTGGATATTCTATTTTGTTCCATTGGTCTACATGCCTATTTTTATGCTAGCACCGTGCTGTTTTGGTAACTATAGCCTTGTAGTACAATTGAAGTCGGGTAATGTGATGCCTCCAGATTTGTTCTTTTTGCTTAGTATTGCTTTGGTTATGTGGCCTCTTTTTTTGGTTTCATATGAGTTTTAGGATTGTTTTTTCTAGTTCTTTGAAGAATGATGATGGTATTTTAATGGGAATTACATTGAGTCTGTAGACTGCTTTTGGCAGCATGGTTATTTTCACAATATTGACTCTACCTGTCCATGAGCATGGGATGTGTTTCCATTTGTTTGTGTCACCTGTGATTTTTTTTCAGCAGTGTTTTGTTTTCCTAGTAGAGATATTTTACCTCCTTGGTTAAGTGTATTTCTAGGTTATTTATTTATTTATTTATTTATTTATTTTTACAGCTGTTGCAAAAGTGACTGAGTTCTTGATTTGATTCTCAGCTTAGTTACTGTTAGTGTATAGCAGTGTGTGTACATTGATTTTGTATCCTGAAACTTTACTGAATTCATTGATTAGATGTAGGAGCTCTTTGGATGAGTCTTTAGGGTTTTCTAGGTATATAATCATATCACTGGCAAACAGTGACAGTTTGACTTCCTATTTACAGATTTGGATGCCCTTTATTTCTTGTCTGATTGCTGTGGCTAGGACTTCAAGTACTATGTTGAATAGAAGTGATTAATGTGGGCATTCTTAGTAGGCTTCTTAAAGGTGAAAGAAATGTCCTGTGTGTTGTCTGATCAGTAAAGAGACAATCCTTGCATAAAGATTAGAGAACCAAAACCTGAACTTGGCACTTAGCCTACAAGGCTTTACTTCTCTCTCACCAATAAAAATGGGCCTTATGGAGCTTGCAATAATGAATAAAAGCAGACCCGTTTCCTTTTGTGGTGATGGTGATGGAGCTTCTGAGAGTGCCTGATAGCTTTTGATAAGAGTGTCCAGTGAAATAAAGGCATGATTTCCCAGCAAAATTTAGGGAGTCCTGCCAAGCCAAGGATCTCTTAGCAACACATGTCTGAACAGGGAAAGAAAATACAAAGATGGAAGGTTATGTTAAGTTCAAAAACAAACAAACAAACAAACATTTTGTCATCTTTCTGGCCTGGTAGTTTGTGTTGAATTGGGCTGAGTTCTAAGTAAATCAGGAGGACTGATCCAGCGGTTTCTTGACACTTAAAAATCTTCCCAAGGTGGGGTAAAAATAGAATGGGCAGTCAACAGATTTTCTTAGAGCAGAAGTGATAATTGGTAGCTGGATTAGAGTGGGAAGTGGGGAGAAGACAGGTGATTCCTGAACTGCATTAAAGGTAGACATGATGTATAAATGAGCACGGGGTGAGGGAGAGGATAAGTCAAGCATGATTCCCAATCTTTTTATCTTGGTTGTTGGGTGGTAGTAACAAAATAATTTTTATAAAGTCAACACACAGCCTAACATTTTATTTACAGGAGAACCAGGGCATATTGATTCTTAGAGTATATACAACTCTAAAAACTTGATTATCTTCTTTCAAGGCCATTGTGGAACAGAAGCAAACAGCAATAAAGAGCAAAGACTCCACTATAAGTAAATACACCAAGGTATTAAAACATAATAGTTGAATGCACTAGAGGAAACAAATCAAGCTATAAAAATCAGATACAAAATCTTGACCATTTTAACAATCTGGGACCATTTAAAGTTAGTGCCAGTAGTGTTTACTCCACTGTGGGTTGTGAAGACTTTACAATAAGAGCACTCACAGAATCCATCTAAAAAATTATTCAGCACCTTTTATGGGCCAAGAAAGAAGCTAGTTCCTTTACATATATTGTCTTACTTAATCATCACTATAGCCCAACAAATGTAGGTGTTCTATGCAATTTCTAGATAAGAAAAGTTGAGCACACAGGCGTTCAGTTTTGAGTGCAGTTTAAACAGCTGGTGTTACAGAGCCAGGAACTCAAGTCTATCCCACATTACTTTGCTGTAGATATTTAAGGGAGTTAGAATGTAAGAACCTTAACATGTTCTTGCAGGGCAGATTCTTGTATATTATTTAGTCCCAGTCATTCAAATGATAAGGAAACTGAGACCAAAGAGGTAAGTGAGTTATCCACAATTACATAGCTAGTTCAACATGGAACTGGCATAAGAAATTGTCTAGATATTGAAAACACACACACACACATCCATGCCCAAGGTTATATGACTAGCTTGTGGGAGAGCTAACTTCAAATCCTTTGTTCATTTTGGTCTATCAGGTCTTCCCAACCTTGGATAGAGATATAAATAGAGTCTTAGCCCCATCAGCTGCTTGGTTCTGAAATTCATCTTGCTGACTCAGATCTTCATATCCAGGGTGCCTGGGAGAAGCCATGGCGCAGCCTTGCCCAGATTTCTGCTATTCTTGCCCGGGATGAATGATTTGGTTCATCCTCACTTCCTAGCTGGGCTTGATCCTGGACACTCTACCTTGACTTTCCAGCTTTCTCTACTAGAGAATGCTGTGTCCTTCCCTGTCACTGCCAGCTTTTGGCTGCAAACACCTCAGCTGACTGTGAATATTTATTGTCATGGGACTTCTGTTCTATGGCTCACTTTCACTCAACTCGCCAGGATCACCAGGAGCTTAGACTGTCTCCTCTGGGCTGGGCCAGGCCTTTTCCTTCCCATTTTGAACTCAGCTCTACTTTTGAATGTATTTAAAGTCCTTTGGTATAATGACATGCAGCAGTGGCTCTCAGACTTTTGGATTTCACAGATCTGTTGAATTTAAATAAACAGAGGACTGATTAGTAAGTATGTCATTTTTCATTTGAACAAGTAAGAATGGAAGATACTCTCTGAGATCCCAAACAATTGACTGGGGAAAGTTTCAGTCTCATTTGTTTCTTGAGCTGCTGCCTTTTCTACATGGGATTATGCAGATAATCTGGGAGATGTGATGCTGGGCCTGTAGATCACGGCAATGAGCATACTTGCCATGTTCACTATAAGCCATGCTGCTGGTACCCATGAAGGCTTCTTTGTGGACAGGAAGAAGTGTGTAGTCAATAAGTGTGTTAGTTATTCCCACTGTTAATCATCCTTTTCCAGGAACAGGGAAAATTCTGGAAGAGGAAAATGTACCTGAAAAATGGGCCCTTAAGGGAAAGAGGCAATGCTCTTGAGCTTTAAATTGGGAATACTCAGGTCTAACCAGGGGGTCCCCGTAGGTCATAGAGGAATGATGGCCTCTGCCATATGGGGGAGGCCAGAGGAGACAAGTGGCCTCTTGAGAATGAGAACAGCTATACTAATAATCAGTTTTAATTTTTTTGAGTAGTTATCTTTTGCTATATAATTGACTATCTAAGTGTTAATCAGTCTTCTAGTCTTGTTTCAGCTATGCTACTGGGCTTTAAAGAAAGTGCCTATGCCTGGCCGGGCGCGGTGGCTCATGCCTGTAATCCCAGCACTTTGGGAGGCCGAGGCAGGCAGATCACGAGGTCAGGAGATTGAGACCATCCTGGCTAACACAGTGAAACCCCGTCTCTATTAAAAAATACCAAAAAAAAATTAGCCAGCTGTGGTGGTGGGTACCTGTAGTCCCAGCTACTTGGGAGGGTGAGACAGGAGAATGGCATGAACCTGGGAGGCGGAGCTTGCAAGTGAGCCAAGATCACACCAGCCTGGGCAACAGAGTGAGACTCTATCTCAAAAAAACAAAAAAGCAAAAAAACAACAACAAAAAAGAAAGTGCCTATGCCTAAGATTGGTTAAGGGGAAAAGTGGCTCTCATACGTAACGAAATTCCTAAGGGAACAGTGGAAATAGTACAATGGCTAATACATTTTAAGAGATGTACTCAGTAAAATGAGAACATTTAAGAAAATAAAATAGATTTGTTTTCTAATTATAAAAATGATACATGATACAGCCAAGATAATAGGTGTTTCAAAAATAAGACTTAATATAAGGAATTAGTACAAATCTAATACAAGGTTCGCGCAAGTGGTAGAAGTCTAAGTTCAAAAGGAGATGCTAAAAAAAAAAAAGATTAAGAACTGTAGAGGCAGCTACCACCTGTAATAATGGAGGAAGCAAATGCCAGAGGAGGAGTTACCAGAACCTAGCAGGTTGAGGGGCTCCATGAGGCTGGTGTTTGGAACTCTGTGAAGGGAGACTGATCTGGCTAGGGCTTCAGTGCACAGCAGGCACAGCCTAGAGGGTGAAGGAGTCTAGAGTGGCCTGTATCCAAATAGTAAAGGAACCATTTGGTTCTTCCTGCTGCTGATGCCTTTGATGGAGTGCAGCAATGCTGGTACTATGGGAGCTGAAGGAGTAGGGATTGACATATTTGATTGCAGCTGCTCTGGTCTTCTTAACTGGAACTGGGAAACAGAAAGAGTGTGTTTCTTTCTCAACTTGCCTTCCTATCTTTCTCTAGGGCTTCTCATTGGCAGAACCTACTGTCAACTGTCAAGGGCATCTGAGCACTGTAGTCTGCAGAGTTTTAACAACAAGTGAAAATAAGTGCAAAGTATCTATTTACCGAGTGCTCAACATGCCGTAGTATGGTTCTTAGCACCCTGTCTATGTGACTTCATTGTTTTCAAAAAACAAAATGATTTTATTGTTTCCAGTGGGAAAAAATGCACATCATTATTATAAACAATTCAATATGTATAGAGAAAGCTTAAGGAAGAAATTTAAAGGCACCTAAATTCAGGACTATTGCATTGTATAATTCCAAAGGGCATCATTTACATTATAATCTATTATAATTACATAGTGCCTCTGGAATTTTGTAACGTAGAGGCTCTTCCTGAATCAAGCTGCCCAGAGAAAAACATTATTAGCAAGTTGAAGGAGATATTTTAGCCATTTGTCTATAAATTGACAGCTTTAGGTATATCAGCTATATCTTTAAGTATATTTCTATTTTAACTTTCATAAGATAATATATTTTGTAGTATAATTTATAAACTAACCACATCTTCCTATGGCAAAAATACAAATTAAATGATCAGTTTTAAAAATAACCATCTTTCAGTATTGATGGGGCCATAATTAATGTAAACAATTCTTCATTATAAACTGTAGAAAGATGAATATTTTGTTTATTCTTAGCATTTTTTCTGGTTATTTTCTTAAGATAAATTTTTAAAGTAGTCAATTGAGTCAGATGTTATACATATTTTATATTTGATACATATTGTTGCCAGATTACCCTCCTTAGAAAATTCACAGATTATATTCCTTGTACTAATGGATAGAAGTGACTGGTCCTCATATGCTTGTTAACACTACACATTATCAACCTTTTCATTTTCTGTCAATCTGATTGGATAAACATGATTTTATTTTCATTTTTTATATTTATAACTTCTAATTATTACAACTACCTGAAAAAGTAAACTGTTTAATTTCATTTTGCAGACCGAAAAATGAAACTGAGGCAAAAGGAGATTGAGTGACATACTCAAGGTCAGTCCCGTGTCTAATAAGTTTCAGAGTCAGAAATTAAACTCAGGTTCATCTGTTTGCAAAGCTCTTGTTCTTTTCACTAGGGTTATACAGCCCCACTGTGTCAAAGCTTCTAGACAATCATCCTGGTGTCTTTCCTCTTGAGTGTTTCCAGCATAGAACTTGGGAAGTGGTAAGTGCCCAATATATGTCTTGTAAGTCTAGTTCTGAGTGTACCTAATCTTTCTAAAGTCTCTTAAAATGTGGCCCTCCAGGTAAGGTCATTCCAGAACAGAAAGGCTTCTAAAATGTTTTACTATAGGTCAGATAGGAAGGTAAAGTTTGTGTACTACTCATTGAAGGTATGATTTTTGTTGAACTTGTGCGCATAACAATCACTTAGCATTTTTAATTCCCTTTTTCTCCTTTTAGTCATCATTTACTGTCTTGAAAGAATTACTGAAGCCATACTGGGGAGCCTTGTTTTATGTCTGGGCATTCTCCAACAGGCTAAGGTTTAATAAGCATGGGGTCTGTGGATCCTTCCAAGCTGGATTTATGATCGTGGGACTCTTGGATCATGTGGGGGAATGATTCCCTTTCCCATGATTCGCTGGTCCACATTTGGCTTCTGAAATGCACATTCCCTGTATGCCTATGGGTGTGAGTTTTGCAGTGCTCACCCACAAAGCTAGGGCAGAGGACCAGGACTCCTCTGCAGGAGGGAGAAGGAGCGACAGGAAGAAGCAGCGCAGACCAGCAAAGGCAGAGGGCAACTGGCTGTCACATGGTCAGCTCCCAGCAGGCGTTTCTGTCTCTTTCTTTCTTTCCCTGTCTCTATCTCTGTTTCTCAATCTCTCTCTTTCTGTAACTCTTCAAGGCATTGCATCCCCTCTCTGAAAGCTTACATGATCACAAGCTGAAGAACCTGTAGGAGAAAGTTCTCTATGTTCTGTGGCCTCTGGGAAATGAATAATTCTATTGATATTCTCTGTAGAAATGATGCTAATGACAAGATGGGGGAGTAAAATTCCCCTGACTCCCTTGTGAATTCTCATTCCAAGGTTTCAGCTCCAAACTTCTCCTTTCAGGCACAGGCTAGGGCAATTCAAAGCTCCTGCTGTAACATCTCTCTGTGAAATGTTTGCTATCCGAAAATCATAATCTCTTCGCAGTTAAAGCTTAACCTCTACCAGTCATCTGTTCCTTCCACATGGAACTCAACTGCTCTTCCTGGGAGCTGACAAAGGAGCTTAAACTTGCAATCATGTTTAATTCCTGAGTTTCATTCGTCACATTTTAATTTAGATTGCTTTGCTATTTTGTACTGTTTGAAACAGAGCAGAATTATTGGTGGATGGAAATTTTTGCTTCATTTGGTTTTTAGAAAAATTTAAGAATTTTGAGACATGAAGCAGAGGTTGAGTGTTTGGATGAAAATGTCAATCTGGGTTCTGGTTCTACCCTGTTTATCCATCTCTGTGTCAAGATGCTCTAAGGGGAGATGGGCAAAAGGGTTTTTAATCTTCCTTTGCATTACTTTCCTTATATTTAAAAATGGGGAAAATTGTTATTCTGATTCAGAAGGGGTCTGAGGAACTACAATTTTTCCTCACTTTCTCCTGCCCTCACTGGAAAAAAAGTAGGGGTGGAGGTCTCAGCCATTTTGAATGTGAAGATATTCTCCTAGACAAAAAAACAAAAAATGAACATTATAGGAATAGTTTAATCTCACAGCTTTTGTTTACAACTTTATAAAATGAAAGACAGACACATATTTAAATTTTAAAAAATATGCAGAAGTAACTGTTTTCTGCCTTAAATTCCTGCCTGGCAAATGCCTGTCAGTAATTCCCAAATCATGGTCTGTAGAGAATTTGCAGGGCATCCGCAATGCGTCTTCAGACAAGTGGAAGGAGGTGGAGAGACCCATGAAGAACATGGCACTTGGTGCAACCGTCCAAACCTCTGTCCATAAACCACAGACATAGTATGGACTCAGACAGCACTGAGGGCCCTGGTTCTAGAGGGCAACACACTCAATCTTTCTGATGAACTTGTTCGTAGAGATCAAAATGGAAATTATTTGCTCTGGGAACTCTTAAGGTCCTGCTGCTAAGTCATTTGCATAGTGTTAAATGATGCATAGTGCTGGGGCTGGATTCTGGGAGTGTGTTCCCAAGGGCTTCCTCACATACACCCCATTCCCACCATCGCCTGCATACACAGAAGGCGTCAGGAGCTTGAGGACTCCATTTGCCTTCCTCAGACATTGCCATTTTGAATAAATATTACTATTTATTATCCCCAAATTTAGAGTTATTAATTATATCAGCATAAACCTAATTTATGCCATCATAAACAGTGATAATAAATGCTGCCAAATTCTAATACCCAGCTCTTGCCAACTGTGCCTGTAGTTGATGGGTTTCCCCCCCTCACTTCCCAGAAGCATTAAATTAAAAATGATTCAGTGTTGCAGAATCATTGATCAAGTTGGGGCTGAGGCTCCTCAGGAAATGCACTTGTTTTGTTCAATGCTTTGCTCTTTCATTGGCCGGGCAGCTTCTGATGTCTGTCCGCATTCCAATGTTTCTCCTTTCCTTCCTCCCCTCCTCTGATCCTCCTATAGGAGGAAGAAATCCGTGCAGGGATGCAGGGATAGAGGGAGGTAGATGAGCATCTATTATTTCATTCTAAATTTCCCCTTTAGACATCTCTCTTCTTAGCATCCCCACTTCTAACTCTTTATTTCAACATAAACTTAGAAATCTTTATAAAGCAAACCCTTGGGTATAATATAGATAAGTTATTTCTCAATTTCTAAATACATCTATCATGTATTTAGGGATGGATGTGATACATGGCTTCCTAAAATACATGAAAGCCTATAATGGGAAAATAGGAAGCATAGCTCTGAGAACCCCCACCAAAACTGAGGAAGCTTTTTCTTTTGGTAGTTACTCTCAGGGGTGCTCTGATTTTGCAGAGGAAGAGGAAAAGCCTGTCCCTGTGTTATCAGAACTGTAATGCAATCTCACTGCTTTTCTCAAGGAGAAACAGTTTTTACTTTTCCTTCATTCTCCCTGGCTTTTACTTTGTTTTCATCAGTGATGATTGTGGTGGTGATGTAGTATAAAAAAATTCCAACAAGACAGTCAGAAGAAGACCCACTTTAGGTCAAAGTTAGCTTCTTTATAGCTGTGTGGCTTTGGACAATTTACTTAACTTCTCTACTCCTGTTTGCTCCACTTTTTAAGGGAGTAGTAAGCCCTAACCACTGCACCTCACTTGATTAATATCACAATCAAGTACCATAGTACTTCAAAACTATTAAGTACTGAACAAAGGTAATGGTTCCTTTTATTGTGTTCTGATGCCTAAATTTCAGTGGTAGGGCATCTATGTTCTTCTCAATGGTAGGGCCAAACAGTCTTAATAATCTTTTTCCTGCTTTTCATTTTTTAGTTTTGCAAAGAGATCCAGGATAAGCCATGGCAATAGGATAGAAATTCTAAATTTTGCAGAGGAAGAGACAAGGTCAAATGTAGATATATATATATATATATATATATATATATATATAATATACTATTTTATATATAAAATATATAATATATATTATAATATATATTATATAATATTATATATAATATATGTTATATAATATATATAACATATATTATATATATATAGAGAGAGATCTTGTTAAAGTTTTGGTTATCCTTTTGATTTTAAAATTATGGGGCAAGTATAGAACTGAATAGGTTGTACAAAAAATTCAGCAACAGAGAAAGCTTGGAACTGAGTAGTTCAGCTAATGCCTTTTTTCCTCATGCTTACTCATCAAATAGATTTAACTGGCACCTTGGAATGGAGAAAAACCCTGGCTTCTTGCCTTCAGAAGCCAGCCTATCATCAGCCTCCATCAAGGTATCTCCAAGAGCTTTTCAGGGTGTCTGTAATGAGCAGCATCTGTGGTGCATGGAGTCTGTCTTCCCCAGCCGGGGGACTGCCTCCCTGGGGTGGGTACCCAAGCCTCAAGATCACAGAAGCCCAGTTTCCTAGAAAAGTGCACCTATCAGGAACCAGAAGGAATTGCACCTCGAAGGCTGGCATTGGAAAATTGCCCGAGAGCCTTCTGCTCTCTGTTCTGGATCACTCTGCCTGGCAGTCTGGAGTTTCTAAGCAGGAAAGTCAAAGGCAGCATATATACTTTGATAATGCAGATCCACCTCCCCACCGCGATTTACAGGTTGTCTTTTCCTTGGCTATTCATCTCTCTGAGCCACATAGCCCTTTTGAATTATTAGCCTTACTCCTTCATTGCCCACCTTCCTTCTTGCAAACATGCTCCCATACATTTTCACTCCACAGAAAATGCTTTCTTCTCTATTTACAGCTTCTTTCTGCCCCCTACCCTTCCCTCTGGTCCGATAACTAATGGCCAAGGAGATAAATAAGAGACATAACTCTTTTTGGCCATTTTTTTTGTCATTACTCTGCATAATAACAAGGAAACAAATCTTATTACTAAAGTAATTACAATAAATAAAAAATAACTGAGAGTGGAGCTTAAAGAAGGGGACATAGCAGGGTAGTGATTACAGCAGGATTTTAAAATTTTAATTTACTAGTGCCAGTCTCTGTTACTCTGTTCATACCCTGCTTAGGAGATTGTGTCTAATTAGGGATTGGTTGTTATTGGTCTTTGAAAGCACCCACTCCTAGCTGACTTATCCCTAGGTCTTTAAAGGAGACATTTGGCCCAAGGAATCCCTTGAAAAATCTCTTTGTCAGCAGCTCAATGTTGGAAAATAGCAGCATTTAGCATGTTAAGTTTCATCATCATCAAAGCTTGGGAATTGCAAATAATTACTTGGCATTTTTCCCTCTGTAGATAACATTCTCTTAACTAGTCTATACAGACATGCATTCACCCTAACATCCGTGGATCACCAAGTCGAGGACACAGTACACCCTTTTGTAGAATACACTGGTGCTGACCAATCTTAGAGTTAGACCATTTTTCTTTATAGCCAATCTAATTTTATCCAAAAGCAATTTATGTCCTTTGTTTCCACAGAGGAAGTGTGGAATGTTTATTTTTCTTCATTAATCATGACTATTATCCTATTTCTGATAGTCATCTTTCCAAGTCCTTTTGGTATTTGAGTTGCTTCTCTTTCTTTTTGAACCTAAATCTTGTATGTTCAGTGTTTAGTCCTGATACACAGTGTTTTAACTATAATTGTCAGTGTTTGGTTTCCTTAACCTTCTCCAAGTTGCTCTTGAGTGTGGAAGGATGAGGTGCAGCATAGTGGCTTTCCCATGCATCTTAGCATCTTTCTACAACACCATCCCTAAACTTCAAGTGCATTTATTAATTCCTGTGACCATGTGCCCTTCTAAGTTGCTCTAAACAAGTGGTCTTAGTCGTCTACACATTTGAAATATAGGGCAAATACAAAATTTAGACACAGTTACTACAACACTTCTTCCCTAAACCACTGCCATCCCCACCATCTCTACTATCACCACCACCATCAGTGACATTACAAGAAAATGGCAAATATTGAATGAGCATTTAACACATGCTTGACAATGCCAAGTACTTTACATATATTATCTTTTAATTCTCACACAACCCTCTGTGGTAAATATTAATAATATCTTGACTTTACTAATGAAAAAAGTAATATTTTAAGAGCAAAATAAGTGTCCCAGGCCATTCAGAACACAGATAGTATTTGGATAAAAAGAATATTCAATTCAGTTTCTTTCTTTTTTTATTTTGATTCTAGATCCTGCCCACTAACAACTACATTATACATGGAATCAGAAGTTATAGAATTCTGTAATGTTAGAGGTGAAAGACATCTTACATTTCAACAAACCGGCCCCACCCTTTCTTTATAGAAGAGAAAAATAAAAGATGCTCAGTAAGGTAACAGTAGGTTCTTAAATCTCCACAATATTAGAGTTGAATTTGAAGTCCAGGCCTAAAACTTTCCCCACTGAATCTCCATTACATGCAAGGATAACATATTTGCAATCTAGCCAGACATTTATGTAAACTATTATGCATAATATTATGACATTTGGGAATGCAAAGCAAAGATAAGTTATTCATTAAGACAGATAACGCAGGATTGAGTGGTAGTTCTATTTTTAGTTCTTTGTGAAATCTGCATGCTGTCTTCCATAGGGATAATAATTTACATTCCTATCAACAGTCTATAAGTGGTCCCTTTTCTCTGTTTCCTCACCAACATCTGTTATTTTTTAATCTTTTTAATAGTAGCCATTCTGAATGGTATAAGATATTATCTCATGGTGGTTTTAATTTACATTTTTCTGATAATTAGTGGTGTTGGGTATTTTTTAGGTGCTTGTGGGACATTTGTATATCTTCTTTTGAAAAATGTCTATTCATACCCTTTGCCCACTTTTTAATGGGGTTATTTATTTATTTTTTGTTGAGTTGTTTGTGTTCCTTGTAAATTCTGGATATTAGTCCCTTTTCGGATGGATAGTTTGCAAATATTTTTTCCCATTCTGCACGTTGTCTGTCCACTCTGTTGATTATTTCTTTTGCTGTGGAGAAGCTTTCTGGTTTAATTTTCCCATTTACAATTCACAGTAGCAAAGATGTGGAATCAACCTAACTGTCCATCAATGGATGATTGAATAAATAAAATGTGGTATAAGTACACAATGGAATACTATTCAGCCATATAAAAGAATGAAATCATGTTATTTGCTGCAACATTAATGGAACTGGAGGCCATTATCTTAAGTGAAAAAAACTCAGAAATGGAAAGACAAATACTGTATGTTCTCACTTATAAGTGGGAGCTAAATAATGTATACACATGAACATAGAGTATGGAATGAAAGACACTGGAGACTCAAAAGGATAGCGAGGTGAGGAGGAGGTGGGTGATGAGAAATTACTTAATGAGTACACTGTACATTATTCAGGTGATAGGTATACTAGAAACCCAGACTTTATCATTATGCAATATATTCATGTAACCAAATTGCACTTGTACCCCTTAAATTTATATTAAAAAGAGAGAATGCAAAGAGTTCTGTGTAGAGATGGTCAAAACATCACAAATATTTTAGCCTGTCTAATATAGCTTCCCAGAGGTAGTTGGATGTCTAAGTGTGCTTTAAAAGGGGAGGCAGAATACCCCTGGAAGAAGAGTGATAGTATCTCCAGACCAGCATTTTCTTAATGGCTTCTGCAGGACGCTAGCAGATTGGTGCTAATAGATGTTTCACACAAGAGGGTGCTATGGCTTGAAAAGTTCAAACAATTTTGGGTAAACAAATTTTCTTTTAATTGTAGAAATGTTCAGTGCCATTAAAATATTAACATGCATGGAGACTCTCCAAGATGGGAAAAAATATATGCCATTTCCTGAAGTTATTTGAACAGGGTCACATTTGTTGAAGTACACCTAAACTATCTAGAGGAACATTAACGATCACTCAACTTGGGCAATGTTTCCCCAGGCTTTTAACTGAGATGCAGACATAAAATTAAGCCTACTTAGAAGAAGCACATTAGCATCGTGGCTAAGAACACTTAGAATGGAGCTGTATTGCTTGGGTTTGCCATTTACTAGCTGTGTGACCTTGGACAAGAAACTTGTCATAGGTTGGGTTATTTATGATACAGTCTCCAAGATGGAGACTTGCTGTAGGAAATTAGTTGTGTTGAGTTCTTGGGAATAACACCTATGAGAGCGTAAGGGAAGCTGGATTGGGCATAGAGTACAGTTGAATTGTGATGCATTTGCTATTACGAAGGCCTCAGATGATCAGTGGGTACCACTAACTGCTGGGATGCCTCTTTACCCAATGGCCTTTCAGTGTCTGGAATTAAGGCAAGTGGACTGAGCCTTTCCTTTGTACTCCCCACCAATGATCCGTTCTTGAATATGAGCTTCCTGTAGGGAGGGTATACAACCCCAGGGAAAGAAGATCCCTTTGGCTGAGGGCAATTCCTAGGGGAAGTACTCAGTTGTGAGCTTCAGCAGCCAGTAGCAGCTGAGGAATGAATTCCTTGGTCCTAACGGTACTCTGAGGGATACACCACAGTATCTGCTGTGCTTCAGTTTCCTCATCTGTAAAACGGGGATAATAGCAAGTAATGACCTTTTTAATAAGGCCATTATGAGTTAAGTGAGTTACTATATAATATGCCTGATACTTAATAGTGTTCTTATACATGTTAAAGTAAACAACACTTATAAGAACAGTTATTATACTTTAACACCTATAAAATCACTATTAAATAAACTAAATAGTGTATTTAGCATGAAGCCTTATTAAGCTCTTTTGATGGCTTAATCATATTGCTAACTCATTTTTAGTTCATTGTCAAATAAAACATCTAAGATTTTTTAATATTAATTGTCATTAACCTGAATGTTTCCTGGTATGTCACTGTGTAGTTGATCTAAATGGATCAAGTCTTGAACCCATGCTTATCCCAATTTCATCCAATTAGATTCCATTCTTCTGAGACCACTTTGGATCTTTAATCTGTCATCCATTTTGTACACTAAGTTGTGCTCTTATAAATGTTATGATTATTCACATTTATAGTTAAGACAATGAAAACTGGAAAAACAAAGAGAATATATCCTTCATTCCTAGTGTATTAAAAACAAGTGCCTATATGTCATAGTATTTTCACATGACTTTTTTTTCACAGCTTTTTCTTAGCCTTGGACAAAGAGGCTATTACTGCATTTTCTGCTGTGTTCTTTACCTAATAATGTAGATATCACTGTTATAAGAATGGCCCACTCTTTCAGAAGGTACCCCCTCAGACAGTTCATGTATTTCATAAACAAACAAACCAACAAACAAAATTCAGTCCAGGCCAAGATGTAATTTGAGTAGAGATGACTAAATATTGACTCGTTTCTAAGAAGTGGATTGTGATTTTGACATGACCTAAAGGGAACTGTATTCATGGAAAAGATGGCCTATTCCAATATAATGTCAAGAGATTTGATGCTAGCATAGCTGAGATCAATTTTTCTTTTATTTTTGTAAATGCGGTGTTAAATGAAAATGTCCAAAGCTTGGGCTGTGCTTTCCAATGTCAGGGCAAAAAATTTGAGTGTTTATGAGTCCTGATCAGGCTGGGCTTCTCTCTAGAAGGGGAGACTGCAGCACATTAGTGCCTGTCATTTGTGATAGTAACTGTGGAAACTCAGCCAGCAAGACTCCTTTCAGCAGTAATCAGGGCCATTGATGTCCATCTGATCTCAGGTGGGGAACACTTTTTTATAAAAAAAAAATGTAATTCAATATCTAGCTATTAATCTAGCCATCTTGGCAGTGCATTATTGAGTGTTCTAATTCAGTGGATTTGGCCACTGAGAGACTCAGCCATAATGCATGTAATGTAACGGATATCATCTGAAAAGCAATTGTTCTCCTTGGCTAGGTTATTTAAAGCCATTGAATAACATAAAATAGATTATATATCCATAATAGTATTGAGAATCATTTTGTTCAACCTAGTTTTTCATTGTATGGAAAAAGAAATAGGCTTAGCAATTCGATGCTATGTAAAAAGTTTACCCAGTTTCCTGGCATAGATAAGATCAAGTCAAAAGACAATGGACTCTTCCATTCCAGTGATATGCAATTTCTCTTGGACAAAGATCTTATCCCTATTATTCCACAGAGGAAGACAGTGTGAGCTCTACATGAATATATTTCTGTGACTTGATCATACAACCATGGAATCTTAGAGAACTTAACGTCTAGTTCAGTTTTTCAACTTGCACTTAAAATTCCTTTATAGCATTCATCACATGTGGCCAAATAGCCTGTGCTCTAGCATGTCTGTAGTGTGTGAACTTATTTCCTCTCATGTGAACTTATTTCATTTTCGATAGTCCTCTTAGAAAGTCATTTCTTAAACCATGTTAATATATTTCCTCTCAAAGCTTCTATCCTTCATGCCACATACAGTAAGTTGAATTACTCTTCTTTGGACTTTCACACAACTGAAGACTACCCTCATATCACCTCTATATGTTTTCCTTTCTCCACAGTAAGAATCTGTAGTTTCTTCAATCACTTGTCTTGGGATGTATTTTTGGATCTCTCCATCATTCCGATTGTTATCTGAATTACCTCACTCATTAATGCAATAAATGTTCATTGAACATATCCTAAGTAAGAAACATTGGTAAACCTGTGGATGTAACATTGAACAGAGCAAGCTGTTTACAGTAGAGAGGTGGAAACAGACAATTCAAAATAGTATCATACAGTGTTAGACATCATCTGATGGCTGTTAGCCATACAGATGCCCAGAGAAAGGGGACCTAATTTGGTCCTGAGGTCTGGGACAACTTCTTGTAGCATCTACATTGAGAGCTGAAGGAAGGGTTAGCCAGCGGCAAAGAGTGTGTGTGCAGTAGAAGCAGGGAGGTGTCAGAGCATGCTGGTCTACATGAGAGACTGGCATGTTCAGAGCCCAGGAATATCTAAGTTTTTATTATGATGGAATTCCCGGATGACCACCATTATTATTCTGAAAACCAAATTGCTATTCATGAAGCCTGAAGCATGAAGACTTAAGCTCTTTTGATGGCCTAATCCTATTGCTAACTCATTTTCAGCTTATTGTCAAATAAAGCCTCGAAGTTATTTTTTATATTAATTGCCATTAACCTGAAAGTATCTTGCTGTATCACTCTATAGTTGATCTAGATGGATCAAGTCTTGAATCACACTTATCCCAGTTTCATCCAATTAGATTCCATTCTTTGGAGACCACTTTGGATCTTGAATCTGCTATCCATTTCATTTGGCTTTCTACTAATTTACATGGAAACTTCAGAGCTGACAAGAATTTCTTTTATCTTTTTATCATGTCATTGATACATTTGTTGAACTGGAGAGAACCAAGGACAGTGTACTAGAAGACATATCACCAAAGGCACAGGTCCATTTAGTTATGATCATTCAACCACTTTCTAATCTATTTTAGTGCTGCCATTGAACCCATCTTTCTTTATATAACTTGCAAGGATATCTTGAGAGACTTTTGCAAATTCCTCACTGAAGGCCTGTTAAGCTCTGTCTCCTTATCTAATAACCTGTCAAAGTGTGAAACAAAGTTGGGCTGGCACAGCTGGAACAATTCCCAAAATTGTTCTTGGTTACAGGTGCTGGTTTTTATGAGTTCTACTTCCTTTCCTAAGAGACCCCATATTTCCCTGTTAATATGCTCCAGAATTTTGCTGAAGATCAGTGTCAAGCTCACTGGTTTCATCTGCCATTTTCTCTTTTTTCAAAAATGGAGACATATTTGCTCATCCTTAGTCTTGATAATTTCCCATAGATTACTGACATTGTCTTAAGCTAAGGGTGGGCTAAGCCACTGCCTTTGAAGAGTGAAGAGGAGACCCCAGCTCCTGACTTAGGATGATTCAGACTTCCCACAGGCACCTCTCATAATTGAGAACTTGCAGCACTTAGTCTTACCTGTCCTCAGAATAGATCATTCATCATGCTTGTCGGGATGATTTAGTCTGGGGGTGTGAAACTGCAATTCCTTTGACCTTGGTTCACTGAACTGACATGTTACATATGGGCCCAAATCATTGTAACTTCAGGTGTTTTAATCTAGAAAATGCTTTATGACACTACATTGTTTTACTTCCATTGACTTAATGCTCTGTAGTACTAACCAAGTTCCCTCTTGGATATGAGTAGATCATAGATGGCAAAGACTGAACATTTTTTGATAGTGTGATATGCTATCAAAGATACATGACTAAGATATGTCCTGCATATCTTGGCACTTTTGTCCACATGTGGTAAGCTTTCAGGGGTTAAACGGCAAAATTTGGGGGGTGGCTGGCAAGATGGCTGAATAGGAACAGCTCCGGTCTATAGCTCCTACCGAGATCAACACAGAAGGCAAGTGATTTCTGCATTTCCAACCGAGGTACCTAGCTCATCTTCATCTCATTGGGACTGGTTAGAAAGTGGGTGCAGCCCATGGAGGGTGAGCAGAAGCAGGGTGTTGCCTCACCTGGGAAGTTCAAGAGGTCAGGAAACTCCCTCGTAGCCAAGGGAAGCCGTGAGGCACTGTGCCATGAGGAATGATGCATTATGGCCCAGATACTATGCTTTTCCCACAGTCTTTGCAACCGGCAGACCAGGAGAATCCCTTGGGTGCCTACACCACCAAGGCCCTGGGTTTCAAGCACAAAACTGGGTGGCTGTTTGGGCAGACACTAAGCTAGCTGCAGGAGTTTTTTTTTTTTTCATACCAAAGTGGTGCAGGAATGCCAGCAAGACAGAACCATTCACTCCCCTGGAAAAGAGGCTGAAGCCAGGGAGCCAAGTGGCCTAGCTCAGTGGATCCCACTCCCATGGAGCCTAGCAAGCTAAGATTCACTGGCTTGAAATTCTCGCTGCCAGCACAGCAGTCTGAAGTCGACCTGGGATGCTCTAGCTTTGTTGGGGGAGGGGTGTCCGCCATTACTGAGACTGGAGTAGGCAGTTTTCCCCTCACAGTGTAAACAAAGCCGCCCAGAAGTTAGGACTGGGCAGAGCCCCCTATAGCTCAGCAAAGCTGCTGTAGCCAGACTGCCTCTCTAGATTCCTCCTCTCTGGGCAGGGTATCTCTGAAAGAAAGGCAGCAGCTCCAGTCAGGGGCTTATAAATAAAACTCCCATCTCCCTGGGACAGAGCACCTGGGGGAAGGGGTGGCTGTGGGCACAGCTTCAGCAGACTTAAAACATTCCTGCCTGCTGGCTCTGAAGAGAGCAGTGGATCTCCCAATACAGCACTAGATTTCTACTAAGGAACAGACTACCTCTTCAAGTGGGTCCCTGACTTGTGTGCCTCCTGACAGGGAGACATCTCCTAGCAGGGGTCGACAGACACCTCACACAGGAGAGCTTCGGCTGGCATCCAGTGAGTGCCCTTCTAGGATGAAGCTTCCAGAGGAAGGAACAGGCAGCAATCTTTGCTGTTCTGCAGCCTCTGCTGGTGACACCTAGGCAAACAGCATCTGGAGTGTACCTCCAGCAAACTCAAGCAGACCTGCAGCAGAGGGGCCTGACTGTTAGAAGGAACACTAACAATCAGAAAGGAATAGCATCAAAATCAACAAAGAGAACATCCACACAGAAACCCCATCTGAAGGTCACCAACATCAAAGACCAAGGTAGATAAATGCACAAAGATGAGGAAAAATGTCCAAAAATGCTGAAAATTCCAAAAACCAGAATGCCTCTTCTCCAAAACCTCACAACTCCTCACCAGCAAGGGAACAAAACTGGATGGAGAATGGGTTTGACGAATTAACAGAAGGAGGCTTCAGAAGGTGGTTAATCACAAACTCCTCTGAGCTAAAGGAGCATATTCTAACCCAATGCAAGGAAGCTAAGAACCTTGAAAAAAGTTAGAGGAATTGCTAACTAGAATAACTTTAGAGAAGAATATAAATGACCTGATGGAGCTGAAAAACACAGCAGGAGAACTTCATGAAGCATGCACAAGTATCAATAGCCAAATCAATCAAGTGAAAGAAAGGATATCAGAGTTTGAAGATCAACTTAATGAAATAAAGTGTGAAGATGTGATTAGAGAAAAAAGAATGAAAAGGAGTGAACAAATCCTCCAAGAAATATGGGACTATGTGAAAAGATCAAATCTATGTTTGATTGGTGTACCTGAAAGTGACGGGGAGAATGGAACCAAGTTGGAAAACACTCTTCAGGATATTATCCGGGAAAACTTCCCCAACCTAGCAAAACAGGCCAACATTCCAATTCAGGAAATACAGTGAACAATACAAACAGCAACTTCATCAAGAAGAGCAACCCTAAGACACATAACCGTCAGATTCACCAAGGCTGAAATGAAGGAAAAAATGTTAAGGGCAGCCAGAGAGAAAGGGCGGGTTACCCATAAAGGGAAACCATCAGGATAACAGCATATCTCTCTATGGAAACCCTACAAGCCAGAAGAGAGTGGGGCCAATATTCAACATTCTTAAAGAAAAAAAACTCAGAATTTCATATCCAGCCAAACTAAGATTCATAAGTGAAGGAGAATAAAATCCTTTACAAACAAGCAAATGCTGAGATATTTTGTCATCACCAGGCCTACCATGCAAGAGCTTCTGAAGGAAGTACTAAATATGGAAAGGAAAAACCAGTACCAGCCACTGCAAAAACATACCAAAAGGTAAAGAACATTGACACTATGAAGAAACTGCACCAACTAATGGGAAAAATAACCAGCTAGCATCATGACAGGATCAAATTCACACATAACAATATTAACCTTAAATGTAAATGGGCTAAATGCCCCAATTAAAAGACAAAGACTGGCAAATTGGATAAAGAGTCAAGACCAATCGGTGTGCTGTATTCAGGAGACCCATCTCACATGCAAAGACACACATAGGCTCAAAATACAGGGATGGAGGAAGATTTAGCAAGCAAATAGAAAGGAAAAAAAGCAGGGGTTGCAATCCTCATCTCTGATAAAATAGACTTTAAACCAACAAAGATTTAAAAAGACAAAGAAGGGCCTTACATAATGGGAAAGGGATCAATGCAACAAGAAGAGCTAACTGTCTTAAATTTATATGCACCCAATACAGGAACACCCAGATTCATAAAGCATGTTCTTAGAGACCTACAAAGAGACTTAGACTCCCACACAATAATAGTGGGAGGCTTTAACACCCCACTGTCAATATTAGATCAACGAGACAGAAAATTAACAAGGATATTCAGGACTTGAACTAAGCTCTAGACCAAGTGGACCTAATAGACATCTACAGAACTCTCGACCTCAAATCAACAGAATATACATTCTTCTCAGCACTGCATAGCACTTAATCAAAAATTGACCACATAATTGGAAGTAAAACACTCTGCAGCAAACGCAAAAGAATGGAAATCATAACAAACAGTCTCTCAGACCAAAGTGCAATCAAATTAGATCTCGGGATTAAGAAACTCACTCAAAACTGCACGACTACATGGAAACTGAACAACCTGCTCCTGAATGACTACTGGGTAAATAACAAAAGTAAGGCAGAAATAAAGAAATTCTCTGAAACCAGTGAGAACAAAGACACAACTTACCACAATCTCTGAGACACAGCTAAAGCAGCGTTTAGAGGGAAATTTATAGCACTAAATGCCCACAGGAGAAAGTGGGAAAGATCTAAAATCGACAAGCTAACATCATAATTAAGGAACTAGAGAAGCAAGAGCAAACAAATTCAAAAGCTAGCAGAAAACGAGAAAATACTTAGAGCAGAACGGAAGGAGATAGAGACATGAAAAACCCTTCAAAAAAATCAATGAATCCAGGAGCTGATTTTTTTTGAAAAGATTAACAAAATAGATAGACCACTAGCCAGACTAATAAAAAATAAAAGAGAGAAGAATCAAATAGACATAATAAAAAATGATAAAGGGGAGATCACCACTGATCCCACAGAAATACAAACTACCATCAGATAATACCATAAATACCTCTATGCAAATAAACTAGAAAATCTAGAAGAAATGGATACATTCCTGGACACATACACACTCCCAAGATTAAACCAGGAAGAAGTCGAATAGACTAATAAGAAGTTCTGAAATTGAGGCAGTACTTGATAGCTTACCAACCAAAAACAGTCCAGGACTGGACAGATTCACAGCCGAATTCTACCAGAGACACAAAGAGGAGCTGGTATCATTTCTTCTGAAACTATCTCAAACAATAGAAAAAGAGGGACTCCTCCCTAACTCATTTTATGAGGCCAGCATCATCCTGATACCAAAACCTGGCAGAGACACAACAGAAAAGAAAAGTTCAGGCCAATATCCCTGATGAATATCAATGTGAAAATCCTCAATAAAACACTGGCAAACTGAATCTAGCAGCACATCAAAAAGCTTATCCACCACGATAAAGTCACCTTCATCCATGGGATGCAACATATGCAAATCAATAAACATAATCCATCACAGAAACAGAACCAATGACAAAAACCACATGATTATCTCAGTAGATGCAGAAAAAGCCTTCAATAAAATTCAACAACCTTTCATGCAAAAAACTCTCAATAAACTAGGTGCTGATGGAACGTATCTCTATCATACTGAATAGCAAAAGCTGGAAGCATTCCCTTTGAAAACCAGCACTAGACAAGGATGTCCTCTTTTACCACTCCTATTCAACATAGTATTTGAAGTTCTGGCCCGGGTAATCATGCAAGAGAAAGAAATAAAGGGTATTCAGATAGGAAGAGAGGAAGTCAAATTGTCTCTGTTTGCAGATGACATGATTGTATATATAGAAAACCCATTGTCGCAACCCCAAATCTCCTTAAGCTGATAAGCAACTTCAGCAAAGTCTCCGTATACAAAATCAATGTGTGAAAATCACAAACATTCCTATACACCAATAACAGACAGAGAGCCAAATCATAAGTGAACTCCCATTCCCAATTGCTACAAAGATAATAAAATACCTAGCAATACAACTTACAAGGGATGTGAAGGATCTCTTCAAGGAGAGCTACAAACCACTGCTCAAGGAAATAAGAGAGGATATAAACAAATGGAAAAACAATCCATGTTCATGGATAGAAAGAACCAATATAGAGAAAATGGACATACTGCCCAAAGTAATTTATAGATTGAATGCTAACCCCATCAAGCTACCATTGACTTTCTTCACAGAATTAGAAAATCAACTTTAAATTTCATATGGAACAAAAAACAAGCCCATATAGCCAAGACAATCATAAGCAAAAAGAACAAAGCTGGAGGCATCATGCTACCTGACTTCAATCTATACTACAAGGCTACAGTAACCAAAACAGCATGGTAATGGTACTGGTACCAAAGCAGATACATAGACCAATGGAACAGAACAGAGGCCTCAGAAATAATGCCATACTTCTACAACCATCTTATCTTTGACAAACCTCACAAAAACAAGCAATGGGGAAAGGATTTCCTATTTAATAAATGGCATTGAGAAAACTAGCTAGCCATATGTAGAAAACTGAAACTGGACCTCTTCCTTACACCTTATACAAAAATTAACTCAAGGTGGATTAAAGACTTAAACATAAGACCTAAAACCATAAAAACCCTAGAAGAAAACCTAGGCAATACCATTCAGGACATAGGCATGGGCAAAGACTTTGTGACTAAAACACCAAAAGCAATGGCAACAAAAGCCAAAATTGACAAATGGGATCTAATTAAACTAAAGAGCTTCTGCCCAGCAAAAGAAACTATCATCAGAGTGAACAGGCAACCTACAGAATGGGAGAAAATGTTTTTGATCTATCCATCTGACAAAGGGCTAGTATCCAGAATCTACAAGGAACTTAAACAAATTTACAATTGAAAAAACCAACAACCCCATCAAAAAGTGGGCAAAGGATGTGAATAGAAATTTTTCAAAGGAAGATATTTATGTGGCCAACAAACATATGAAGAAAAGCTCATCATCACTGGTCATTAGAGAAATGCAAATCAAAACCACAATGAGATACCATCTCATGCCAGTTAGACTGGCGATCTTTAAAAAGTCAGGAAACAACAGGTGCTGGAGAGGATGTGGAGAAATAGGCATGCTTTTACACTGTTGGTGGGAGTGTAAATTAGTTCAACCATTGTGGAAGACAGTGTGGTGATTCCTCAAGAATCTAGAACCAGAAATACCACTTGACCCAGCAATCCCATTACTGGGTATATACCCAAATGATTATAAATCACTCTGTTATAAAGACACGTGCACACATATGTTTACTGCAGCACTATTCACAATAGCAAACACTTGGAACCAACCCAAATGCCCATCAGTGATAGGCTGGATAAAGAAAATGTGGCAGATATACACCATGGAATACTATGCAGCCATAAAAAAGCATGAGTTCATGTCCTTTGCAGGACATGGATGAAGCTGGAAACCATCTTTCTCAGCAAACTAACACAGAAACAAAAAACCAAACACCACATGTTCTCACTCATAAGTGGGAGTTGAGCCATGAAAACACATGGACACAGGCAGGGGAGTATCACACACCAAGGCCTGTTTGGGGGTGGGGGGCTAGGGGAGGGATAGCATTAGGAGAAATACCTAATGTAGATGATGAGTTGATGGGTGCAGCAAACCACCATGGCATGTGTATACCTATGTAACAAACCTGAATGTTCTGAACATGTATCCCAGAAGTTAAAGTATAATTAAAAAAACCCAGCAAAATTCCAGACTATTAATAGAAATTGGGAAGCAAGTTAAAGTCAATGATTCCTGTATAGTGCAGAAAACATTTTCAATAAAGTGTGTTTTATTTTTCAGTTAAACTTCTGGTAATTTATAATCAGTGATTTCCAAATGTAGTTGATCATCAGAATACCCCAAGGAGCTTTCTAAAAGTGATGTCCAGGGCCAACATGCTATAGTTTCTGATATCTGATTCAAGAGGGAGAGGTGGGCTCTGGGTGTCTGTATTTTTAATATACTGGATAATTCTAAAAGTAGGCAACTCTATGCTACTCATCTGTATAATCTTTTTACCGTCACACTGTCAGATGATTGTGGAGAGATCTTTGTCCGTCTATGGATGGACAAAGACGTGTTTGTGTGTGAGGGAGATAGAGACATAAAAATAACACACAGATAATTCACCAAGAGAAACAGGAAGAAAATGCCAACCCCATGGGAGAGGTAGCAAACATTTTTTTCAAAGCATCAGCTAGAGTATTGTTACTTCTCTAGTATATAGTAGAACATATGTAGCAGAACACATGTAGTAGAAAACAGGAACCAATATAGAAATGAAGCTAGCTAAAACTCTATATTTAGAACTTGAACATTGAAGATTTGTACTCTGAAAGACTGCGAATTCTTTGAAGTTAATGTAAAAGCCCTCATACAAAGGAATGTCAGCTTAGCCATGGGTGGGTCTAAGACAAATTTGTATGATGTACAAAAGGATTAAAGGAAAATCTAGAACCTTTGTTACCAAAGAAAGGTGTTCTGGCAGATCCAGGACAAAGAAAATCTCTTTTCCCAGGTCTGTCAAATGATTTTACATATATTTTGTGTCTACCAGCTATTTGCTTAAGTGAGCACCAAGAGAAATTGTGTATGGTTCCATAGTGTGGGTTCATTCACACAGGGACAATGCTGTCTAAATACCTTTGGTCCTAACTACAAAGGTTCTTTCAGGAAGTATCAACTTCAGCCAGATGGAACCGGCCAACAACTGAAGCCTCAAACATGGTGGCCAAAGTGAGTAGTGGACATGAGTTATGCCCTGCCTAAATGCAGCCTTAAGGCTGTTCTGCTGTAAGAATACATTATAATATAAATGCACACATTAGTTGAAATCCTTTGTGGATCATATCCTAAAGCTGCCCAAGTGGGGCTGCTTAACTATTTATTTTGTCCACTATGTTATGTGTTTTGCATTTTATTTATTTATTAAGAGATGGAGTCTCACTCTGTCACCCAGGCTGGAGTGCAATGGCACCATCTTGGTTCACTGCAACCTCCGCCTCCCTTTTCAAGTGTTTCTCCTGCCTCAGCCTCCCAAGTAGCTGAGATTATGAGTGCACACCACCACTCCCAGCTAATTTTTGTACTTTTAGTAGAGTCAGGGTTTTGCCCTGTTGACCAGGCTGGTCTTGAACTCCTGACCTCAGGTGATCCGCCTGCCTCGGCCTCCGAAAGTGCTGAGATTACAGGCATGAGCCACTGCACCTGGCCTTGTTTTATTTAATTTGAGTCAAATGGAGATCACCTAAAGAAAAAAAAATTGACTTCATGTTTTCTTTGTCACCAAATGACTTTGTTTTTGACTGAATTACTGGGGTAGACACTGCATAAAAGTATTTTTTATAGGCAGGAGGGAAAAAGAGGAACAGTTTGTGAAATGAAATTATAAAAGTTTCATTTTATAAGGGTGACGACAAATGTGCTAGACCTTTTTGTAATGTTCACAGCCGAAAAACAGAAATTGCATAAGGATGAATATTAGGGTCTTTCATAAGATGTTTTAGTACATACTGTGTGTCATTAATTAGGCAATATTTCTATGAGGTCAAAACTAGGACATCTCCAGAGTCCTAAATGACATTTCCAGCTTTATGTTGCCATTCAGTGTCTTTTATGCTATTTTATTTTTTTTTCAGTCTGTTTGAAGCATTGAGACCCACAGTTCATGATAAAATACATTCTTCAATTTTAGTGCATGGTTACAAAAAAAAAAAAAGGACACCTATTGGCATTTAGCAAGGTGACCATTCATAAAGTTTTGACTATTTATAGTAGTTTTCATGAGACAGCCCCAGTTTATATTTGGTTTTCCAGTGTAATTATTTAATAGTATACCAGTTTATTCTCAAAAACTGTAGATGATATATTATGTGGCATCCCTTAATATAGTTAACAGAGTCACTACTTATTTGACTTTAACACTAGCGGTTTTTGTGCTTGTTTAGGCCTATTCTTCCCAGCTGTGTCTTCTCCAGGAATTAAAGCTCATGTTCCCAGTCTTTCCTTGGGATCCAAACACTGTGAACATGATAGAAGTTTGCAAAGCTTACGGACAAATACCCTCTCCCTTTTCCTTTATTATTCTTGACCTCGTAGAGAGAAGTAACATACAAAATGGGATAGATCTTAAATACGTATTCAGGTATCTCTGACCCTCCATTCTGTAGATGATGTAACTGGGATTCAAAGAGGGTATAATGGGTTTAGCCCATGGATGGCTTGTCTCTTAGACCAGCATGCTTTTCAATTTAATTAGTATTTAAAAAGGGTCCTAAATAAACTCACTAAAAGGAGGGATCTGAAAAACCAAGCCAACATGAAGGTGGAATTTTACATAAATCCAAATGAAACCCTGGGTATTTGGAATCCTCATGCAGCACAGCTTTGGGTAGAAAGACTGCTAAACAGAGTAGGACAAGAGGGAGTTCCTGTTGCTCTAGGGTGCCACCTGCAATACCTGGGCTCTAGGAACCATTCCTGTGACAGCACAATTAACTATCCCAAAGTAGGGGAAATATATTAAAGAGGAATACTCCAGGGAAGGCAGATACACATCTTCTTATTGATAGTCCTATTTTCCCCCGTCTTTTTTTCTAAATACACGGACTTCTTTAACTTCCATAATCAGAAATAATCTATTTCTCAGAGTCCTTATTGTCTATTGGACAAATCCAGTAAAAGATATGCATTGTGTTTTTCATATGTCTTTGTTATTTTATGAGTTGATTTGAGTTCTACCTCTCCTCTGAGAAAACCAAACAAGAGGAACTCTGTAATAGGGAAGACTGTGACTAGAATTAAGGACTCATATATTGACCACTGGGGCTGTTAATCATGAGGATGGATCAATAATAGAGTTCGCAGAATATCTGAAGGTCATTAATTGTACCTTGGATTTCTACCTTCCTGGAATAAATTAGGAATAAACTGAGTCTTTCCAAAAGCAAAGGAATACATGAAACCCTTTCTTGCTTTGTGAGTAAATAACTTTGCCCTTTTGGAGACTCATGTTCTCATCTATTACAGAAGGAAAGAAAAAATAATGGAAAGGTTTATGTCCCAGAAGTTCCTGATTCCATGGTGTGTCCCTGACGAGGTGGTGTCTTTGGGACCAGTGCTACTAACAAGTGAATATTGAGAAATAGGATAGACACAGGTGGGAAAATATGGCTGCTGGTTTCACAGAAGTTTCCAGAAACACATAGACAATATCCTTTCCCTTCGCTCTGCCTCCTCACAAAGACATTCCAAAGGGCACCAATTCCTTGGATCACCAGGTCATGAGGACCTTAGGTCTAGAATAGCAAGTAGAGTGCTCTCTCTGTTGGGAGATTCCTATCATACTCCGGATGGCAAGAAAACAAATATGCAATGGTATCTCTCAGAACTGGTTTAAAACATGCCAAATGTGGGATCTTGGCCTCTGCCTTTCTCCAGGGCCAGTCTTATGGCAAAACTCCATGGGATGGGCCTATTCTACCGCATTGAGACCAAGAAAATTCCAAGACTCCACCTTAGCAACATGGACGTATGATGAATAGAAAAGAATAAGAAAGCTGTGATTTTTCTTCGAAAGTAAAAGTTTTAAAAAATGCATTGAGCATAATAGACTGTCAGCCATGCTATCAAACTTAAAATTATAGCTGGACCCAGCAGACTCACAATGTAAATCTGACAGGTAGGGCAACAGGCAAGTGTTGCACAAATGCCTCCTGGGACCGTAACTTCAATTCATCTCTGAGGAATCTACATGAAAGCTCCACTCTCCCTAATACTCATGCCCCTATAATTTCATGCTCTGTTCTCACCATGTGGATGAATACAACCTTGAACCATGTCTACATTTTTCATTTTATTTCAGGCAAATGAATTCCTTGCAGGACATATTGTATGTGAAATCAGGCATTTTTCTTAACATTGCCTTTGAGCATTGCCACTTATAATTCTAAGAAAGCCAGAGACATTAAAAGGAACCCAAGGGAAATTCGTAGTTGAAACAAATAACAACAATGCATTGACTTTGATATTCTTTACCCTTGTCCACACTGGCCTGGAGTTCAGTCAGCTCTTTAGCCTGCAGTGATGAAGCTTGGAGCTGCTTTTCTGGGGGACAGCACAATGGAATAGAGCCTATTTCAATTCCAACATTTTAGGGTGTCTACATTGATGTAGCCAATCTTTGAATTTCGAAGACATTGCGAATCAAAGCATCGTATCAATGTCATTATATGTTGGAGAGTATACTTAGATAAGGCAAATTGTACTTTCAGTGCATATGTTTTAGTTGTGATATTTAACATTTTCTTAATAGGATTTACTAAGCACCTTAAAGCAGAATTCAGTGATTAAAGATATATCTCAGCCAGGCATGGTGGCTTAGGCCTGTAATCCCAGCAGTTTGGGAGGCTGAGGTGGGTGGATCACGAGGTCAGGAGATCGAGACCATCCTGGCTAACACGGTGAAACCCCATCTCTACTAAAATACAAAAAATTAGCTGGTCGCGGTGATAGGCACCTGTAGTACCAGCTACTCAGGAGGCTGAGGCAGTAGAATGGCGTGAACCCAGGAGGTGGAGCTTGCAGTGAGCCGAGATCACGCCACTGCACTCCAGCCTGGGTGAAAAAGCGCCGTCGCAAAAAAAAAAAAAAAAATGTGTGTGTGTGTGTAACTTTTGCCAAGTGCTAGACACTATTCTAGATCTTAGGGAAGCAGTGATATAATCTTATCCTCAAAAGCACACATCAAGCTTGAAAGAGAGACCCAGAAGAACTAACCACACTGCACATAGGATAGATGCTTTAATAGATGCATCAGTAATTTGCTGTGGAAGCAAAGAAAAGGCACGCTGAGAATTAACTTTGCTCTGAACAGTCCACAGGTGATAATTGGGGTTTTAGTGGGGCTTTGAGAGAACAAAGACTTCACAGCACTCACTTTTGAGAATGTGGGTTGTATTACGTATAACTTTGTGATACATATACATTTTTAAAATGAATTATTAAACTGGTTGTTTACTATGTAACAATAAATAGTTTCTAGCATTTTATACTACAAAATCTCTTTTAATTCTTGTGACAGTCCTATGGAAGGGGTAATACTAAAATGCCTTATATAGATAAGGAAAGTGAGACTCAGAGATGGTAAGTAACTTACTCAAGTTCTCACAGTTACCAAGTGGCGGAGCTGGGATTAGAACCTGGTCTATCTTGCTCCAAAGTCCCAGTATTTTAATGGACCTGTTTGCTTGTTAGCAGTGACCTTACTGATTGGCTAACCCTTCGTAAGATCCCACGATGAACCTCACTTCCCAGAACTTGGCCTGAAACCATGACCAGGAGAGATTAGTGCCTGACTTGGCATCTGGGGATTCTCTGTTTCTTTCAGTGTCAGTTTCAGTACTCAAGTGGTCTTGGGACAAGTTACATAAAATTGAATAGCCCTACTTTCTTATAAGTAAAATGAATATAATGTTCCCTTCATTATGAAGTATTTAGTAGGGTAATCTTTAACCTATACACGTGGACAGCTAAGCACACAGTGCTAAGCACAGGGCACATAATATGGTGTCCACAAAAGTGTCTGTTACCATATACATTTCCGAGTAATTTGCAATAGGGCAATTTGGAGTATCCCAACCTTTGCGCTAATGCCGTCCACAGTGTCTGCTTCTGTCTCCATAGGACAAAGTGAAAGAACTATGTGTAAAATATTTCTGTAACTTAGACTGACTTTCACACTAATTAGTCTTGGTTTATAAGCTTTTATTTTACTTTTTGTTACTAATCCTGAGTTATTATGCAATGTCTGGTAAGCCAAAGGATTCCACACGCATTTCTAAATGTTAATGCTTACTGAATACACTGTATCAGCTTTTGGACTGAGTTGTGGTCATTTTATTAGGACCCTATTATAGTGCTTATGATGTTATCCCCTCTTTGACTTCTCTGACTCTACTACCTTCCTTGACTCCACTTGGTTGAGACTCCCGGTTGCTGTGACATGGGAAAGTCAGTTTTAAATCATCTCAAAGGCTTCCCCTCCCTCCAGCAGACCTGAACACCCCAGGGCTACTGGGCTGTGTATTGGCAACACGATAGCTCTGAATCCCCTCTCCAGCCAGCCAGCCCTAGAATCCAGGGACTCACCTGTTATCCTCCCATCCTTCTGCTAAGGTGGGGCCCTTGTGATTCTCAGCAACCCAGTTCCCAGGATCAGGTTTTTAACTCTGTGGTTCAGGATTCTGTTTGCTAAGGACCTGGCATAAGGGCTTGAGTCCAGCTTGCCCTGGGATCCGACCTTCTGACAAACAACTACATACATGTCAAACTGCAATTAATGTAAGCCAATGTTAAGACATTTCTATTAAGTAAAGTCCATACTTTATTCAGATGTCTTTAGTTTTTACCTAGGGTATTTTTTGTTCCCAGAATCCCATCCATGACATCACATTACATTTGGTCCTCTCATCTCCCTAGGTTCCTCTGGGCCATGGCAGTTTCTTGGACTTTGTTTTTGATGACTTCGATAGTTTTGAGGAGTCCTGGTCAGATATTTTGTAGAATGACCCTTAATTAGGATTGAGCTAATGTTTTTCTCATGATTAGCCTGTGTTAGTGTGTATTTTTGGGAAGAAGACTGTAGGTGTAAAGTGCCATTTTTATTGTATTCTATTAAGAGAGCTATATCAATACGACTTATCACTATTGATGTTGACCTTGCTGAGGTAATGTTGCTGGGTTTCTGTATTGTAGAGTTACTCTTTTTCCCTCTCATTTTATACTTTACTCTTGCTGGCCAACCTTTTTCACTTAAATAATATCAGGTCACCACCAAGGATAGCAGAGATAAAGGAGCTTAGATAAAAGCCTGAAGGAGGTAGGGAGATCTAAAGCCTGAGGCTATTCTGCTTTGGGTTTAATTTTTTTCTTGGGTCCAGTGGTGTGAAAAATTGAAAGAGGTTTTTTTTTGCTTTGAGAACAATGAGGAGCAGCCCCTGGCAGGTGGCTGTAAGCCAGTGTGTCAGCACAGGGGCAGGTTGCACTGACTGGAGTGGCCCCTGTCCCCATGTCTCCCTCAGGGTTCTGGCAGGGCCTGGCTGCAGGGCTGCTAGGGGCCATGCTGAGGTCCAGTCCTGGTGATCATATCAGGACAAGCGTGCACATTCAAGATGCTAAGAACAAAGTTCCCAAGGATGACTCAGCTGTGCTCAAGCCAGGGCAAGTCTGATAGGCCGGAGCAGGGTGGATGCAGGAGCCAAAGGTCAGTGGCCTGGGAGGACTGAGAAGAAGCCACTTCCTGGCCTTAAAAAGATGAGGAGTCTGAATAAATTCCTAGAAGAAGATGAAGCTCCTTTCCTCCTCTTCTTCTTCTTCTTCTCCTCCTCCTTCTCCTCCTCCTCCTCCTCCTTCTTCTTTTTTTTTTTTTTTTTTTTTTTTTTTGCCATTGGCCACATAGTTAATGGATGGGTAGAGGAAATTTAAACAGAACCAGGATGATTGCATCATTCTAAATGAGCTTGTTTAGCCCCTTCTAGAAGGAGGAAGGTGAAGGCCCCTGTTCAGGCTGTTCCCTGGAAATTACGTTGGCATTTCTTGTGCAAGGAAGACTGAATGAAACATTGAATGAAATATATCTGTCTAAGAAAACCAGTTGCTCCCAAATCCTGCCCCTTGACTGACAGAGCAGCAACTTTGACCGCCATTCACATTTCTTGGAGAGAGAAGTGTGTCAGGGTCTCTACTTTTAAAGCCCAGTAGGGATGTTCCCATGAGAACTCTGGCATGCACTGTGTGGCAATTGGTACCTCCAGGGAGGGTGCCCCTCAGTTTAAGCTTCCAGTGTCTACTCCCACTCAATCTCCAAGCTTCAGCCTTTCTCTGTGAGATGTGCTAAATTTGTTAATGTATCCACTAATACAATCCAGAAACTAATACTGAGTGAGCGAGTGAATGAGTAAGCAGAGGCAGGGATGAAATAACAGCATCTTTCTCAAATAACTCTCTTCCTTTCCTTTCTAACTGGAATGTGTCCCTGTGGCCTTTTCCTCTAAGAGACAGTGATTTACAGAAACAAAAGCTATTGGGACCCAGTTTATAAAATGTTCCTGACTATATTCTACCATCCAGAGTGGAGCACCTGTAATTGATCCAGAAATTCTAGTTGATACAGCCAGTGGAGGAAATTACAGGCATCTACAAACCCAACTGATCCTTTTATCGTGGCTGAAATATTCGATCATTCACTTACCTAGTCATTTCAGCTTTCAAAAAATTGAGTCTAGGTAGTTCTCTGACCAAATTAACCTTTTTGATGACTGTGCTAACCATCTGGATTAATCACCGTGGTGAAAGCTGTTGTCCACACAGAGTTTTACGAGTCTCATTTCCTTTGACCTTTATTCTCACCACCCAGTTATCTGACAACATGTGTCTAAAAAGTGAAAAAAGGTCCACTTGCTTTACACTGAATTCAATAATGTCTGACCTTGCTCTTCAGCTGTAGAGTATATTGTTTAGATTGTGAAATTGATGAGGCGAGAAGAGATGCTGAGAGGAAAATAGCTGAAATGCAGGGAGAGCAGATAGTGCAGTTTGCTTACATTTAAATTAACTGATGCTAATTTATTTACTTATTATATTTATGGGATGCACCCATTACTTATTAGCCTCTGGATACATGTTAAGAGGATCATAAAAGAGACACTCCTTGTCATTATGGCTAATTAACATTCAAATTGACTAACATTTAAGCGCTAAGAATAAAATCGGTCATGGGCCAGTCAACATTTTCATCAAATGTCCTTAAATAGAATCCATTAGTCGGTCCCCTCTATTTTTCTACCTGCTGCCAAAATATCTGACACCAGAGGATGTCAGAGTTGATAAGGGAACTATATCTGTAGCATTGCAGCAACTAATATCAGGTGTGTCTCTGGACTCATGCAGGGTAGTATGCAAAGCTTGATTAAATGGACATAGCTTCCTCTCAGAAGAGGTTTATAGTCCAGCTGTAATTGATGTAGAAGAAATGAACACAACATTCAGGGCTTTTATATCCTATTGTTCTGAAGTTGTTTTGCTCACATAGCCGCAGCAATTACTAAAGCTTACAAATTAGGGTGTGTGTCCAATAGTAAGTTTTTCTATTGAATATATACGCTGAAAGATCCTTGAGCTATTGTAAATCCATCGAACTGAAATATGTAGGACAGTGAGAAATACTGAATGGACAACTCAGATGGTTCTTTTCATAATTTCTAGGAGGAAAGGACTAGAAAGGGAAGGAAATACATATTTGTCATTAACCTACCAAGTAAATCTCTACATAAGCACATATGAGTCCCACATTAAAATATGTGCATATTAAATTTTCTGTCCCTTTTTCCATTTATGTTCTTGATGTTTTCACTGTTTTAGCTCTGAGTTGAGGTTATGCTGAAGGCAGTTGGGGGTGACTGAGATCAGGCAGGGAGAAGATAAGCTGTGAATTATGAAGATATTCCACTAAGTATTGTGAGGATTATTGTTACTAGGTGAGAACCAGGGTGATATTGCCGGATGAGAGTCAATAGTTTCACTTCAATCAGACTTTTGGTAAATTTACATTTTTGAAGAATCCTATGTTTTAAGCCATGAAAGGTGCTCCATTTAGGCTAATTTTAAAAGAATAATCTCCATGTGAATCAGAAGTTCAAGCCAAATTAGAGATTTAAGGTTCTGTGTCATTTTATTAAAACTCAATGGGCTGCTTTAGAATTTGGAGCATCTGAAGTTAATTTTTAGATTGGTCATTCACCTAGTGTAGTATATAGGTGAAGCAAATGGGCTCTGGAGCCAGAATTCTTAAACTCCCAGGCTAGCCAGAAACCTCGGGTACATTTATTTACCTCTCTGCGGCTCGGATTCCTTCCCAGTAAAGTCGTGAAGATAATAGAATCCATTAATTCAATGAGATAATAAGGTACAGTGCCTAACACTGTTCCTAGTATATAATAAAGGCTCAATACATCTTCAGCTATTGTAATTCTAGTTAATTACCAATATATTACCAATATATAGCAACACAATAATAATTATTAACAACTATCATTAACTAATCCTATATTAACTTAAATTTCTTCTCACAGTGGTTCATTAGTCCAAGGAATATTTAAATTCAGTTTTCTTTCCCTAAGATGGTACTTCAGGGTGATTGCAATGGAGCTTCTAAACTTTCCATTCAATCCCTTTCCTCTCTTTTTTTTTTTTTTTTTTTTGTCCCATTTCTTAGTGAAATCCTCAATTCTAAGCCTTGCATGCATATAGAAAATTATTGTCTTACCGCTCTCTGTGGTGGTGGAGAAGGTGTGTAGGGAGATCTAGTAGCATCCCAGTGAGGGCTAAGCTTAGAGGAAGTCTCATCTCCTACCCAGAACTGTGCCTTGCTAGAGTCAGGTGGGGGAGAAAGGGCAGGGCTGCAACAAATGAAACACCAAAGAAGAGATTGAAAATAAATAATGAAAGAGGTAAATGTGGAGAATGATAAAATTAAGCTAAGGAAAAAAATAGACATAAAGATGGGATAAGTGTGTCTGTTGGGTGTATGGGAACAAGGTTCTTGTTCAGAATGATAGTCTTATCCAGGATTAGCTTAATGTGCAAGAAGAGTTTCAGGGCCAGGAAACTCTAGCTCATGCCATCCATTTAATACATAGTTAATGTGTTCCCACTAGGTGACAAGCACTGTGCTAAGCATTGTAAATAGAGTGACGAAGACCAGAGACATGACCTTTGCTGCCATAACAATTACACTAAGTTAATGGGAAGACTTATATTAGTAATAATATTTGTTGACAACCATGATTTCAAATTTATTATTTTGCAAATAGGCAGAGCAGCAGCTGTTAATGAGGAATAGGGACCAAAAGTTAATTAGTTTAATGGATTAGCTGAGGAAAGACTAAGGATGTATAAATACTTTTTTTAGAGAGTGCCTAAGGAACTGCTTATGGTTCTGGAAAATAACTACAGGGCAATAAAGAGTAAGTAATCACCAAAGTTGGGCCTTCTAGTATGTTTCAAGACTCTGTAACTCACCAAAGTAAAACAAACTGGCCTTGCCAAATCTTGAAAAAGCATCATTGTGCAGACGGATTTGAGCAGGACTTTGTTTTTTTTTTTTGCATCAAATGACTCCAAATTTCTTGGGGATTTTCCATTGAAACTATTTTTAAAGCAGCTTCTCCCCTAGTTGCTATCATCAGAGAGAGTGGTTTTTATAATTTTATAAGTTAGCTTAATTTGAGGACACTGAGGGTGTGTAAGAAGGTATGGACTAGAGAAGCTAAATAAGAAAGACTGAGAATAAATATTGCTGTCAAATATTCGATAGAATTCTAAATATCTTGGTGTTGTGACCAAAACTCCCCTCTCCGAGTCCTGGTATTTGTAGAAATAATTTTGGCTTTTTGTGAAGCACTAGCCCAGTGATCAGCCACTTCTTCTCTCCAATAGAGAAAAGAGAAAGCGCTTAAATAAGATTGAGGAGGCACTGCTCCTGCTTCAGAGCTCCATTATGTTACCATTATGAGACATTTATTGAGCACCATCATTTTAAAAATCAGAGTAAGATGTAGTCCCTTCTTCACAGTCTGGTGCTCTCAAAGAACTACCTTATCCTGAACCTTCAATTCATTTTTTTTCCCAATATGCATGCAGTTTCCCCAACTCAGCTGGGTCCCGCCACCTAGTCTGTCACAAGCCCAGCTAATCCTAATCCTGGTTGGTGACTAAAGTGCTAGGCCTCTTACAAGAACATCAACAGTTTCATCTAACACGGAGTGAGCACTTCAGGATGGAGGTTAGGCTTTAAAAAGTGCCAATCCTACCCTTATGAGCTCCCAGTCTCTTCATCTGTCTCCTCCCACCCTTCTGTTTCTATCATGAGTGGCGTGTAGAGTGGATGAGCTCATGCCATCTGAGGTCAAACCCAGCCTCTCTCAATTGCCAACCAAATGTCACAGGTCAGAGTACACGATCCAGCTAAGCCTCAGTTTTCTTTTTTTTCCCTTCTTTTCTTTCTCTTTTTTTGGAGACGGAGTCTCATTCTATTGCCCAGGCTGGAGTGCAATGGTGCAATCTCGGCTTACTGCAACCTTTGCCTCCCAGGTTCAAGCGATTCTCCTGCCTCAGCCTCCAGAGTAGCTGGGATTACAGATGCGTGCCACCATGCCCAACTAATTTTTGTATTTTTTTAGTAGAAATGGGATTTCACCATGTTCGTCAGGTTGGTCTCCAACTCCTGACCTCATGATCCATCCATCTCGGCCTCCCAAAGTGCTGGGACAACAGGTGTGAGCCACTGCACCCGGCCAAGCCTCAGTTTTTTTATAAAGTGGTGAATGTTATAGGTGGATTTTGAGAAAAAGGCAGGCTAAACTAGGTAAGAGAGATCTGACATGAAATGCTCAATATACCTAAGTTCTTATTTTTATTATCTCATTATCTCCTAATACTCCACAATCACATGCTCTGAGCAGATTGGAATACTCTCTTTCTCAGGAATATACTTTATCTCTCTCTCTACTCCTTAAAATAACATTCGCTTTATCAGAAATGACCTCCTTATCCCCCAATTCCTCTATCACCATCCAGGGTTACCAGATTTAACAAGTAAAAATACATGACATCTAGTTAAATTTGAATTTCAAATAAACAACCAATAGTTTTTAGTACAAGTATGTCCCATGCAATATTTAATGGGATATGCTTATCCTAAAAATTTATCTACTTATCTAAATTCGTATATAACTGATAATCTGTCTCTTTTTTTTTTTTTTTTTTTCTTGAGGTGGAGTCTCGCTCTGTCACCCAGGCTGGAGTACGGTGGTGCCATCTCAGCTTACTGCAACCTCTGTCTCCTGGGTCCAAACAATTCTCCTGCTTCAGCCTCCCAGATAGCTGGGATTACAGGCACCTGCCACCATGCCTAGCTAATTTTTATATTTTTAGTAGAATCGGGGTTTCACCATGTTGGCCAGGCTGGTCTTGAACTCCTGACCTCAAGTGATCCACCACCTCGGCCTCCCAAAGTGCTGGGATTACAGGCATGAGCCACTGTGCATGGTCTGATAGTCTGTATTTTATCTGGCATCTCTCCCTCCTCCATTGTCTCCTGCCTACCAAGCCCTATCTGCTATTGAAAATCTTGTTTGCGGGTGGCAAACTCAACCAGGTAGGGAATGCTGATGGGTGGAAGAGTCCCGATGAGGATGTCGTAATGGGGCAGTGTATACAGGGGAGCAGCATCTCATCTCCTGCTTGTTTCTATGTGTGAATGTAAAACTTGTGTTGCTAGTGTCCCCAGTATTTAAGGGTAGTCAGAAATTCAAAAAATTAAGTGTGTGTTATCTGCCAATATTTAAACGTTGAAACTAATTTAAAAATCACTCAAGGGTCGCAAATTTGAAAACTCCAGCCGGTATAATTACATTTCCCCCCACATGACTTTCCTTGATATCCCACACTTAGAGATGACATCTCGTTCAGCTGAATTCCCTATAGGGAGCTGCATTCTTATGGCTCAGTATTAATGGCCCTGTATGGTACATTTTAATTTTTTCCAAGTAGACTATAAATTTGAAGACAGTAGAAACAATGTTCATTTTTTTATTCTCCAAGGCTTAGTATTTAATGTGTTATCAGTTGAAAGAATGAATAAAGGAATGCATAAATGAATAAATACATTTCGGTTTAGCAGGAGTCAGCAAAGATCACTAATAGGGTCAACAACAGGAGTGAGACAAGGCAATACTGAGCAAAGCACAGAAATCCAACACTTTTCAAACCATGACCAGGCAGCAACAACTTGATCCCGTTGTGGTATTTTCTTGTGGTTCTCAATTAAATACATTTACTTGAGGTGTTATGAAATGAGTTAAATTCCTCCTCTCTCCAACAGCTGCTGTCCCTCAGGCCTCAGTCGCTCAAACAGCCCACAGCAGATAGGCTGTGTAAACAGAAGCATTCCCAGTTTACTTAGGGAAAATCCTTATGTCAGAGCACAGAGCACACGGCCCCAGTGAGAACGGCCAGAGGGTTCCTGAAGTGGCCTTCATCAGTACCCTAGCCAGTCTTATATCTGAAGTTTTTAGCCATAATTTTTTCCCTGGATAGAAATTAATTTTAAGTCCCACAATATTAATAACAGCATTAAGAACTAATATAATAAAAGTTTATTGACTAATTTTGCACCATAATTTGTGTTTGATTCTTGTGCTGCCATGTTTTTATGAAATGGAAACACTGTTTGTAGGCTGAATAATAATGAAAGAAAAAGAGCAAATGATACTTTGAAAATCATTCATTGGGATTTAAGATGTTTTGGGTCAGGAAACTTAATGCTATTTTCATGAGGGATGGGTAGAATAATTTAAAAAATAATAAAAGAATCTGCCCAACCAGAGAAATGCTTAAGAATACATAATCACTTATGGTAGGTTTATATATTATTTGGCTATACTCAGAAATTGATGTCTTTGTAAAAGCCTTTTTAGATCATCAACAAAGGAGAAGTTGAGAGTACGATCAAGAATCTGTTATCAAGGGCTAAATTGACATGTGTGATTGTCCTATCACCACCATGGGATGGAGAATAATAATAATAATAATAATAATAATAACAGTTAATGGAAGTTAACCAGTTTATTCCAGGCAATGTGCCTACCATTTCATAGCCACAATCTCATTTATTCCTCATAACCATCCTATGAGGTTGATTTTCTTACTAGACAAGGAAATGAGTCCAGTAGTTAGCCCCAAGACACATATTCGTGAATGATATCATTGAAGCTTTAACCCAAGGTAGAGTATGTACCTACTGTGCCTTTGACATGGTCTCCTGCTATAATACTGCAGCACAAACACAATAGGAATGGAAACCAGGGAGCTTCCATCAAACTCCAGAACATTCTCATAAGTGACAGTTGAACCAAGGGAATATAGTTAAAGTAAGGTGCCTTTTACTGGGACATGAGATAAAAGAGTTGAGTAGCACAAGCATCAGAATCAGAATCAGGCATAGGAAACAGGCTCAAGAAACAAAAAGATCAAACACAGTGTCAGGAGTGGACATTGGGGTCAGAGTCATACATTAGAGCAAGGGTCAGGACAGATGGAGTAAAGACCTAACATTTAGAATTAGAAATATGGTTAAAGAACAGGGACAGAAACCATCCATTCTACTATAATCTCTCAAGAAAGATGATTTTCTCAAATCTGGTAGGTGAAGGCTTGCTGGCAAGAGCTGTATTATAAAGGGTGCTCGGTGTGGTTATTGTGCCACGTGACTGTACTACATAGCCCTGAGTGATGGTTATTCTTATAGTAAATTTGGATGCGTGGATATAATTATCACTTGTTGTTGAAGAACCCTTTAAACTAGTGAA